>NC_000010.11:86658246-86809761 GCF_000001405.40 Homo sapiens | reverse complement strand
GTAAAGAGTTTCTGTTTGCGGGTAGGCGTCCTGGCTCACACCTGCAATCCCAATACTTGGGGAGGCTGAGGGGAGAGGATCGCTTGAGGCCAGGAGCTGAGGCCTAGACGACAGAATAAGACCCTGTCTCTTAAAAAAAGAAAAAAGAGAAAAAAAAAAAAAAAAAGAGGTCGGGTGTGGTGCCTTACTCCTGTAATCCCCGGACTTTGGAAGACTGAGGCAGGAGGATCACTTGAGCCCAGGAATTCAAGACCAGACTGGGCAACATGGCAAAACCGCATCTCGGCAAAATAAAAATACAAAAATTAGCTAGGTGTGATGGCACGCACCTGTAGTCCCGGCTACTTGAGAAGCTGAGGTGGGAGAATCGCTTGAGCATGGGAAGTGGAGGTTGCAGTGAGCTATGATTGTGCCACTGCACTCCAGCCTGGGTGACAGAGTGAGACCCTGTCTCAAAAAAAAAAGGGAGGGGGGCCTGTTTGGGATGATGAAAAAGTTCTGAAAATACATAGTAGTGATAATTCCATGACACTGTAAATATACTTAATGCAACTGGAATTGTATACTTTAAAATGGTTAAGATGGTAAATTTTATGTTATGCATATTTTATAATTTTAATAAAACAGGAGAGGAAAAAAGTCAGGAGACTGATTTTTTTTGCCTTCCCTATCACTGAAATGAGATTTTTCACAATGAATGAACGACTCATAATAAAAGAAGATCAAAACAGATAGGTGAGCACAGGACTCAATATGAGTTCAAGTTCTTTTGTTCCAAGACAGGATTATAATTTACAATTCAAATACTGAGAAACATTCAGGGAAGATAACTGGATCCCTATAAGTAACCTGTGATGAATCAGAGAAACGAAAGATTACTGAAGATGGGCAGGTTTGGTAGCCATCCTGATTTGGGTAGCAGGTGAGAGATGGAAATTCTGGAAACTGAAAACCAGACAAAGTTTGACCATAAATTGAGGCAAAATTCCAATGGTGATTGTAAAGAAATAATCTTTGTACATTTAAGGAAGTGATAATATCAAAACTGTAGCACTTCACAGTTTAAAATCAGTTTTCACCCACATTGTAACTGAATTTCAAGCAATCTCATAACTTAAGTAATATCCTTCTTCCATTTTATGGGAGATAGGGTTCAGACAGGACAAGTGGTTTGTCAATGAGTGGAGAACTAGGATTCAAACTCAGGCCATTGCTTCAAATCTCTTAACTCTTTCGGTGAATTGACGTTACATGAAATAAGTTGAATGGACCAAAGCTCACAGTTCCACCTTTGGAAAATAGAAAACAAAGAGCAAATTAAATCCAAAGTAAGTGGAATAAAAGAAATAAAAATATAATAGTATCAATGATACTGAAAATAGGAAATCAGTAAGAAAAACTAAAAGCTGGTTCTTTGAAAAGATCATAAAATTGATAAGCCTTTAGCTAAGCCAATTAATTAAAAAGATGACACAAATAGCTAGTATCAGAAATGAAAAAAAAGATCACTACAGATCCCTTCTAAATGTACATTAAAAGGATTATAAAGGAATATTATGAACAAACATGATTAAAAATTTGATAATTTAGATGACATGGATCAATTCCTTAAAAGACACAATATGCCAAAACTCACACAAGAAGATATAGATAATCCAAATAGGCCTATATCTATTAAAGATATTGCATCAGTAAGCAGTAACCTTCCAAAACAGAAAACAACAGGCCCAAATGAGTTCTGCTGAGGTGGGTGGATTGCCTGAGGTCAAGAATTCAAGACCAGCCTGACCAACATGGTGAAACCCCGTCTCTACTAAAAATACAAAAATTAGCCGGGCATGGAGGTGTGCGCCTGTAATCCCAGCTTGTAGGGAGGCTAAAGCAGGAAAACTGCTTGAATTCAGGAGGCAGAGGTTGCAGTGAGCCAAGACAGTGCCACTGCACTCCAGCCTGGGCAACAGAGTGCAACTCCGTCTCAAAAGGAAAAAAAACCACAACTATAGAACAGTATCTTGATAGAGATTACAGAAGCGTATGCACTGTCAAAACAGATTAAACGGAATACATAAGAAAGATGGGGACTGGGCATGGTGGCATATGCCTGTAATCCCAGCTCTTTGGGAGACTGAGGTAGGAGAATTGCTTGAGGCCAGGAATTCAAGACCAGACTAGCCAACATAGCAAGACTCTGTCTCTACACAAAAAATTTAAAAATCTGCCAGGCATGGTGGCATACATCTGTAACCCCAGCTACTCAGGAGGCTGAGGCAGGAGGACCGCTTGAGCCTAGAAGTTCAAGGCTACAATGAGCTATGATCATGTCACTGCACTCCAGCCTGGATGAGAGAGAGAGATTCTGTGTCAGATAAACAAGTAAGTCAAAAAAGAACTATGCATTTCACTAAATACACAAATCCATAAATTATACTTCAATTTTTTTAAATTAAAAATAAACTGGAAATGAAATTAGAATGAAATGGACTGGGGAAAGGCCAAAAAAATCCTGAGGGGTTGGTTTAGAATTAGAAGTATTAGTATAAACTAAAAATGATTTTAAAGATAGTATGTTAAAAAATAATAGTCTATTTCCTAGATACATTTGTTGAAAGTGGCTAGAACCAATGACACCCCAGTATCAATGAGAACACCTAAGACCCAGATCTTGGTTTCTATATATTGAATCCCACTAACAGAAACCAGGGCTCCTTAGAGACATGACTGATTCTGGGGATGGGGCAAAGAAGGTCCTATAGAAGCCTGGAACATCACTATGGCATAAAGAAGTGCTCTTTATTTTTTTTTAAAGGGAAGAAAAAATGACAAGGCCATATCCAAAGGACACGAGAGCCGGAATGAAGAGACTCCCGCTATCAAAATCTGGGACAACATGAACCTCAGAAAACATAAGGGCTGGTCAGGTACAGTGGCTCATGCCTGTAATCCCAGGACTTTGGGAGGCCGACACAGGCAGATCCCTTGAGCCCAGGAGTATCAAGCCTGGCCAACATGGTGAAACCCCCATTTATACTTTAAAAAAAAAAATTTCGTCAGGTTTGGTGGTGTGCACCTGTAGTTCCAGCTACTTGGGAGGCTGAGATGGGAGGATCAACTGAGTCTGGGAGGTGAAGGCTGTAGAGAGCTGTGATCGCACCACCACACTGTAGTCTGGGCAACAGGAGTGAGACCCTGATGAAAAAAATCCATAAGGACTATAACTCATTGAACGAAATGGAGTCTATCACTCCATAGTGATGACAACTAAATAGATAAATCAAATACATACATAAGGGAGTAAGAAGGGTTCTTACAGAATTCAGAATGATAAATGTAGAACTAGTGATGAAAGTGGAAAAATCACCATTCTACAACTATAAATAGTCAAGACCAATTAAATCTGCAGGGGAGCAGTGAATTTTATGAGGAATAAGAAATTTGTGTGGTCTTGAAGTTTCTCCCCACAGACTGCTTACTAGTTACAAGAGGGAAAACAGTAATTATAGAGAAGAGAAACTGGAAAACACCTTGACCAGGTAATCAAAATTAACATGACCAATGACAGGTAGGACAGACATAGTATGCTTCTGATACCCTAGAAGGACACGTCGTCATTTATGTAGACTTCTGGCCAGAGATGCATCACCTGAATCTAATAATGAGAAAATGCCAAGCCCAAAGTGAGGAATATTCTAGAAAATAACTGGCCTGGTGTTCTTCAAAAATGTTGATGTCATGAAACACAACAGGTGGCTAAGGAACTGCTTCAGAGAGAAGGAGATTAAAGAGGCAGGACAACCAAATGCAATATGTGACTCCAGATTGAATCCTCCACTGGAAGGGAAAAATGCTTTAAAAAAAAAAAAAAAACACCTCAGTTGGGCCAACTGACAAAACTGGAATACAGACTGCAGATCAAAGTGCCGCCTCAATGTTAAACTCCCTGAATTTGATAACTGAAGAATGATTACACAGAATATCCATGTCCTTAGAAAATGAAAGCTGAAGGCTGGGCACAGTAGCTCATACCTGTAATCCCAGCATTTTGGGAGGCCGAGGCAGGTGGATCATGAGGTCAGAAGATCGAGACCATCCTGGCTAACATGGCAAAACCCCGTCTCTACTAAAAATACAAAAAATTAGCCCAGCGTGGTGGCACGCGCCTGTAGTCCTAGCTACTCGGGAGGCTGAGGCAGGAGAATTGCTTGAACTGGGGAGGTGGAGGTTGCAGTGAGCCAAGATCCTGCCACTGCACTCCAGGCTGGGCGACAGAGCGAGACTCCGTCTCAAAAAAAAAAAAAAAAAAGGAAACTGAAATAGTAAGGGTAAAGGGGCATAATATATACAACCTCACTCTTAAAAGTGTGTGTGTGTGTGTGTGTGTGTGTGTACAGGTAGGAGTGAAGAGACAGAAACAGAGAATTATAATGCAAATATGGGAAAATGTTAAAAACTGGTGAATGTGGGTATGAAGATTATGGGCATTCACAATGGTATTCCTACATCTTTTCTAAGTATGAAATGATTTCAAAATAATAAAAATGAATTAAATTCATATATTCAAGTTCTAACCACCAGTACCTCAGACCATAAATTTGTAAATAGGGTCTTTACAGAGGTAATCAAGTTAAAATGAGATTATCAGGGTAGGGCCTAATCCTATATGACTATACCATCCTTATAAAAAGGGAGACATCTAGATATGAAACCACAGACATGTGGGGAGAGACAGGGATAAAACTGCCATCTGAAACCCAAGGAACGCCTGAGGCTACCGGGAGTTAGGAAGGAGGCCAGAAGCAGATCCTTCCCTGGTACCTTTAAAGGGAGCATGGCTCTGCGGACACTCCTATTTTGGATCCCTTGATTTTGGAAGTACAGCCTCTAGAATTGGGAGACAATAAATTTCTGCTATTCTAAACCCACACAAACAAATAAAATAATTAGAATAGCAAAAAAAAAAAAAAAAAAAAAACACCTACAAACATTAAGCTAAAATAAATTCAAAACTTTTTATAGACATGAGACATACTTGACCAAATAAAGGTGTTTAAAAACACAAATACTTGGGTTATTCACTGGTGGTCACAAAATAAAGACTGAGGAAATCATCAAACACCAACCTTGCACCAATCTTGCACTTAATAAATGAATTAAATTCATATATTAAAGTCCTAATCCCCAGTACCTCAGACCATAAATTTGTAAATAGGGTCTATAAAGAAAATCATGTGTGGCTGGGCTCAGTGGCTCATGCCTGTAATCCCAGCACTTTGGGAGGCCTAGGTGGGTGGATCACTTGAGATCATGAGTTTGAGATCAGGAGATGGCGAAACCCCATCTCTGCTAAAAATATAAAAATTAGCCGGGTGTGGTGGTGGGTGCCTGTAGTCCCAGCTACCAGGGAGACTGAGGCAGGAGAATCACTTGAACCCACGAGGTGGAGTTGCAGTGAGCCAGGATCGCGCCACTGCACTTCAGCCTGGGCGACAGAACAAGACTCTGTCTCAAAATAAAAGAAAACTATGTGATACAAAACTACTAACCAAACCCATATATTACTAAGTCCCAATTGTGAATATATTAAAACTGATTTAGCAAAGTTATTATTATTTAAAGATGATATATTTTAAATCCCCTATGAGAATAAACTGAAAATTATTAGAAAAAGAAGTTAAATATGTTGAATGATTTAATAAAAATTAGTAAGCTGTGTATGTATTAACAAAACTGGTTAGAAAATATAGTGGAAAAATAGTATCATTCACAATAGCACCCAAAAATATAACACATGAGAAAAACTACAAAACTTTACTGAAAGTCAAAAAAGAAGACTTGTGAAAGATGAAACGCGAATTTATTAATTAGTAAACTATATACTGTAAAGATGGTAGTCCTCTCCAAATCAAATCAATCAGTCAATGAATATTAGCAGACTTTTCAGTAGAATCAGATAAAACATTTCTAAAGACAGTTGGAAAAATAAACAAATATCCTCGACTTTTGAAAAAGTCAGAAAAATTTGCTTTACCAAGTATTAAAATGTACCCAAAGCTATACTGATATAAACAGTGTGATTCCACTGTCAAGAGATAGGTCACAAAAGACCAAAAGTAGATCCAAATATATATGAGAATATAATAAAAGTAACATCTCAAATCAATAAAGAGTGGTGAAAGAATTTGCCAACGATTTGGGAAAAAATTAAGTCGGATCCTTACGTTATGCAACAAAACTAATTCCAGATAAATAAAACGTTCAAATATAAAATGTAAAACTATAAAAGAACTGGAAAACACTACTGTAATGGGGAAAAAAATGTCTAAGTTTGACATCAAAAGTAAAAACCATAAAGAAAAATGTGGCTGATGTAAATTGTTATTAAAGATAATAATGGCCAGGCAGGGTGGCTCATGCCTGGAATTCCAACACTGTGGAAGCCAAGGACTGCTTGAAGCCAGGAGTTTGAGATCAGCCTGGGCAACAAAGTGAGATGCTGTCTCTTTATAAAAATAAATAACACCAAATTTAATTTTCTTCTGTTTCATGTAGCAACCTTGGTAAGCTTGTGACATTATTACAATTATGTTGTGCTTTAGAATTGTGACTATGGCAGTAACATCAGTATATTTTATTCTACCCATCTGACTTCACTTTAAAGAAAACAATTTTTCACTTTGATTTGACAACTGACTTTTCCTAGAATGGATAGGAATATATGCAGTAAAAAAAGGCTTAGGGTCTTTTTTTTTTTTTTTTTTTTGAGACCGGGTCTTGCTCTGTCGCCCAGGCTAGAGTGCAGATCCCTAGATAGGGCCACAGCCATGTATCACAATGCCTGGCTAATCTTTGTCTTTTTTGGAGACATGGAGTCTCACTACGTTGTCCACGCAGGTCTCCAACTCCTGGGCTCAAGCAATCCTCCTGCCTCAGCCTCCCAATTAACTCCTTTTTTTTTTTTAAACATGTCTGTGATTATTATTTTTGGCTGGAATGAAAGAAATTATCTAAAATTCAGCTAACTTCTGACAAGTTGGTGTTGAGTTACTAAAATGCATACAAATTCCTAAACTGATTAAAGCTAACATTCGAGGTTAATGAATGAGAAGTATCTGTAAGGATGGTTTTTTTTTTTTCTCCCTCAAGCTTGCACCAGCTGATCTGAGAGCTACTTGAACCTCAACTGGTTAAATGACCTAGGTTATAAGCAAATGTTCTAAAGGGGAAAAAACTGCTTATTTGAATGTGACATCCCACGTCAAATTTTTAGTTTCTTCTCCCTTTCCTTTACATCATAGTCATTCAAGCATTTGTATGTGCAGTATAGAGGCAAAAAGTACTAATGTAGTTCAGATTCTTTAACATGGGTTATTTTTACTTTCCAAGTCCTATTTTTTATCCTTTCATAAATTAGCCCAAAATGTAGGGTACAGTATATAAGGCCAGAATTATGATACTCACTGTACACAGGGCTTAAGGGATTCAGGGTAAGGGCAGAAGCCAACAAGACACCATCCTCAGCCCTGATCTGGAGCGTCCCTCACCACCATCTGGACTGTGCTGAAAGAGGTGGAAGGCTATATGCAGAGTTGTGTCACAGCGGCTAAGAGTTTGGCACAGGAGAGCCAGCTGTGCCAAATGCTACTGAGAGAGTAAAGGAGATGGGGCTGGACAATGGAGGCCCTCAACGACGCAGACAAAAATGGCCTGAGGAATGCAAACTGTGGTGGACAAGAGAATAAGAATCAGGCAAGGGTGGGGGGCGGTGGCTCACACCTGTAATCCCAGCACTTTGGAAGGCGGAGGGGGGCAGATCACAAGGTCAGGAGATCGAGACCATCCTGGCTAACATGATGAAACTCCGTCTCTACTAAAAAAGTACAAAAAATTAGCCGGGCATGGTGGCGGGTGCCTGTAGTCCAAGCTACTCGGGAGTCTGAGGCAGGAGAATGGCGTGAACCCGGGAGGCAGAGCTTGCAGTGAGCCAACATGCGCCACTGCACTCCAGCCTGGGAGACAGAGCAAGACTCCGTCTCACAAAAAAAAGAATAAGGCAGGTTAAACAGTTGAAAGAAGGTGAAGGACAGGAAGTGTTGCAAGCAGACCATCCCTGAAGCATCTGGCTAAGGAAGGGGTAGAGGCTGACTTTTTTTAAGGGAATGGTTGAGTTTTCTTACCAAGTCTCTACCAGAGATTGTTTACTGATAGGAATGAACCAAAAACAGGGGTAATGACTAAAGAAGAGAGGGGAGAAACAGTCAAAATTCACACAGATACCATACACAAACAGAGCTAACTAGGTGATATTAATCTCTAAGCTTCTATCAGGCTGGGCACAGTGGCTCACACCCGTAATCCCAGAACTTTCAGAGACCAAGGTGGGTGGATGGCTTGAGTGGGCCCAGGAGTTCAAGACCAGCCTGAGCAACACAGTGAAACCTCATCTTTACAAAAAATACAAACTATCAGTTGGGCATGGTGGCGCACGCCACCAACTACTCAGGAGGCTGAGGTGGGAGGATCACCTGAGCGTGGGGAGGTCAAGGCTCCAGTGAGCCCGTGATAGCACCACTGCACTCCAGCCTGGGTGACAGAATGAGACCCTGTCTCAAAAAATATATAAAAACAAAAATTAAAGAATTTAAAAAATAAGCTTATGTCAGCCTCACTAGAATTCAGCATTTTAGTACACATTGTCCTGCCCATATTTTTAACATCTATGCAAACAATATTTCCAGATAAGCTCATATTTACAATTACTGTCATGCAAAACATACAAAGTTTCTTGCCATCTCTAGACACTTAGGAAGTTTCTCATCATACGTAAGTACGTGAAGATTATTTTCCTCACAGCGGCACTACTAATTTTATTCTCACTTTAAAATAATCCCTTTCAATGTCTGAATTCCTCTTCTAGTTAGTTTTTCATTACGTATCTTCTCCACATATATTAATTGCTATGAATTATGTCTTAACTCCTAAGAAACAGGACTTTTGACAGATATAAATAGAAATGTTCATTATTTTCGCAAAGAATTACATGCTTTCTTGTTTTTCTTAAAACACAAATCGCCTGGCCAGGTGTGGTGGCTCATGCCTGTAATCCCAGCACTTTGGGAGGCCGAGGCGGGTGGATCACTTGAGCTCAGGAGTTCAAGACCAACCTGGCCAACATGGTGAAATCCCGTCTCTACTAAAAAATACAAAAATTAGCTGGGCATGGTGGCGGAAGCCTGTAATCCCAGCTACTTGGGAGACTGAGGCAGAAGAATCGCTTGAACCTGGGAGGCGGAGGTTGCGGTGAGCCGATTTCACATTGCACTCCAGCCTGGGCAACAAGAGCGAAACTCCGTCTCACAAAACAAAAACAAAAACAAAAATGGCCTTATTTTAGGTTTCCCTCTTTTGATAGGAACATGAGACTATCACTCCCCCCTCGGCTCACTATATGAAGAAAGAGTCCAAATGCAGTGAGTGATGGCAACTGAGAGCCGGGCAGATGGCAGGGAGAACAGCCTACTTAGCTCCACTGAGGGCTGCAATTGGGAATACAGGCCCTGTGCTGCCCATCTTACCATTTTTCAAGATGAGTCAGAAATCTGCATTTTCTTTTGAAAACTCTCCCAATTTTTAATTGTTGGCCACTAATTTTTAAAAAATTACATTATAAGCCAAAAACATGCCTACAGGCCAAATCCAACTGACAGGTCACTAGTTTGCAACCTGTATGTTAAAGAATCATGGTTCATCTACTATTCTTTTTCTTGTTTTTAGTTAAATCTTCCCTCCAAGCAGAGATATGTTGTTTTTCTATAATATACCCACTTAAAGACTCAAAAGACTACCAACAACTGCCATTAAACATCTCTCTTTTAAAAAGTAATTTACTATATTTGCATTTTGATACTGGTTTGGGATGGGAAAGAAATTCATTTTAAATTTACAATTACTCTTGTAATCACAGCACGCTGGGAGGTCGAAGTGGGTGGATCGCTTGAGCCCAGGAATTCAACACCAAGTGAAGCCCCATCTCTACAAAAATACAAAAATTAGCTGGGTGTGACGATGTGCGCCTGTTGTCCCAGCTACTCAGGAGGATAAGGAGGGAGGATCACTTGAGCCCAAGAGGCAGAGGTTGCAGTGATCCAAGATCACACCACTTCACTCCAGCTTGGGCAACAGAGCAAGATCTTGTCTCAAAACAAAAGAAAACAAAAAAAGAAAGAAAGAAAAGAAAGAAAAGAAAAGAAAAGAAAAGAAAGGAAGGAAGGAAGGAAGGAAGGAAGGAAGGAAGGAAGAAAGGAAGGAAGAAAGAAAATGTACAATTACTCATGAAAAAAAGTAGTTATCAGTAGTTATTTGTAGAGCACCTGCAGTGTGCCCAGCACATTACTAAGCATTTTCACACTCTAGTTTTCACGAAAGCCTAAATTACCTTGTGAAGTTGATATTATTATCTCATTTTACAGACGACTTGTAATAGTTCACAAATTTCTCAGTTTTTCTTTCTCGGCATTCAGAATCCAGCAGAAATGGTTGGTTAGGGTTGCCTTTTGATAGGTATCATCAATCAATGATAATTACAACCATCTTAAATCACAGTAACAAAAATGCAAGGTAAAGATTTTGAAGGACAATATCCTTTGAAAAAAACAGCTAAAACTTTAACTCCTTAAGTTCTCCATTTTCACTAATGTTCCCTGACATCCCTTTAGTAGTCAGTTATTTTCAAGACAAGTAAAATTGAAGTCAGCTCTTCTTTTTGGTTAATATGTTCCTTTCCAGAATCTCTAAAAACAAAGTCTTGCAAAAACCAAAGCTTTTTTATTAACATAACAAGGACTAAAGGAACACCACTGACTACTGACACAAGGCACAGTGCTCAGCTCACATGCAATAAAACAAGTCGGATTCCCCACTCACATGAGCTTACAGTTTCAGTTTCTGAGAATGGAAACAGATCTGAAAGTAATTATGGTAAGTGCAACAAAGGAGATTTAAAACAGGATGCTGGATAGCTTTCACCAAGGTGTTTAAGTAAAAAGACATACTGGGCAAAATCTCAATACAATTGGAAAGGTAGAAAGACAAACTGCTCCCTTACAGTGAAGTGGTTCCTTTAAGATATTACAAGGCCTGAAGTCTTACATTAACATCTTATAAATACACAGTTCTACTCATATTTTATATGTCCTAGAGATTCCATGTTTAAGCCTTTAATTTTGATCTTTTAAAAGCCACTCATTTTTCTGTAAAACATGCATAAATAATAAACTTCAGTATTTTAAAAAGTAAAACCCTCATCAGGATTTAAGTTCTAAGGCTCAAGGAACATTTAAGTAATTAAAGCAAATTATATATTTATAAAAATAACAGACAAAACCAATAGCATTTATCAAATAATGTGGAAAGGATAATTGTTAAAATGCTACTTTTATTGATAACATGTAAAAACTTAGTATTAGTTTTTTAAGTATGGAAATTGTGATGAATGGTCTAATTACTTGGTTTTTGCAAAGATATAAAATGTCATACGGTAGTAAGCTACAAAAGCTAAGTGCCAAAATGAGTCATAATTCCCTAGTAAAAAAAAATAGGACTAAAAAAGGAATACCTCTAAAAGTCTTACAAATATGCTTATATAAGAATGATACAAAACATCCATGACCTTAAATGAAGAGGATGTGTCAAAAATGTCTTAATCTCACTAGCAATTAATATATCAAAATAATAAATAGCAAATAGACAAAGTTTTGAACACAGTCTTAAGTAAAAGATTCAAAAATCTCTCCTAAGATTTATCTCCATTTTCCCATTTCTGAGGCTTACCTACATCTAATTTTTAAATATATAAATATATTCACTTAATAATTTAAATGACAATATCCTACAGCAACCAACCCAATTCTCACTAGTCACTTTCAAACATCTTCCGGGTCTCATGCATTAACAGATTTCTTGACATTACAGGGAACCACAACTCAACCTTTTTGGACCTTTTTGGAACAAGGTCCATATTTGAACACACAGAAGTACAGAAGAAAAGCCCTCGATGGTACCTGAAAATGCTATACAATTTGAAGAATTAAAGTTCAAATTCTGGCCGGGCACGGTGGCTCACGCCTGTAATCCCCAGCACTTTGGGAGGCTGAGGTGGGCGGATCACTTGAGGTCAGGAGTTCAAGACCAGGCTGGCCAACGTGGTGAAACCTCGTCTCTACTAAAAATACAAAAATTGGCTGGGCGCAGTAGTTCATGCCTGTAATCCCAACACTCAGGGAGGCCGAAGTGGGCGAATCACGAGGCCAGGAGTTCCAAGACCAGCCCAACCAACACTGCGAAACCCCATCTCTACTAAAAATACAAAAAATTAGCTGGACATAGTGGTGGGCGCCTGTAATCCCAGCTACTCAGGAGGCTGAGGCAGGAGAATCACTTGAACCCAGGAGGTGGAGGTTGCAGTGAACCGAGATTGGGCCACTACACTCCAGCCCAGACAACAGAGCAAGACTCCGTCTCAAAAAAAAAAAAAAAAATTAGCCGGGCTTGGTGGCAGGCGCCTGTAATCCCAGCTGCTCTGGAGGCTGAGGCAGGAGAATTGCTTGAACTTGGGAGGCGGAGGCTGCAGTGAGCAGAGATCGCGCCACTGCACTCCAGCCTGGGCGACAGAGCAAGACTGTCTCAAAAAAAAAAAAAAAAGAAAAGAAAAGAAAAAGAAAGGAAAAATAAGAGTATAAACTGGGAAGAAAAATTGGAGCCACAATATAGAAAGCCAAGTATAAAATCAAGTTACTGGGCAAAAATCTGTGAATAAATTAGAACTAAAGCATGAGAGCTAAAGAGAATAAAACTTTTATGAACAGGACAAAACAGAACAACACCAACTCCCAATACCCAACCACAAACTTTTATTGGCTGTACCTTTTCTCTTTTGGAAAAAGCTCACTGGGACAATATTCTGCTAAGAAAATACAGTAACTCAGTCTCGGTGACATGGCAAAACCCTGTCTCTACAAAAAATACAAAAATTAGCTGGAGTGGTAGCGTGAGCTGGTCCCAGCTACTTGGGAGGCTGAGGTGGAAGCACTGCTAGAGCCTAGGAGGGGGAAGTTGCAGTGAACTGAGATCATGCCACTGTACTCCAGCCTGGGCAACAGAGAGAGATTCTGTCTCAAAAAACAAAAAAGAAGAAACAAGGAAAGAAAAGAAAATACAGCACCTACTCTCAAAATACTAAAAATAAATAAATAAATAAATAAATAAATAAATAAATAAATGTGCCTAAATTTATGTGATATAATTCTGATTACTAATTATAGTGACTTTCTTCAGAAGGGTAGTAAGTAAATTGATGAACATTATTAATACTTAAAATGACCTAAAAGTGAAGAAAAAAATAGTATTTCTTAATGGACAAATAATGTTTGACAGGGATTTACAAATAGCTTACAAATAATGCTTAAACTTCCTAACCCCTCAGAAAAGGGACCAGTCACATATTTATAAATACATATTTATGAAATACATTTAAACTTTAATAACCAAAATTGTTTAATTCCTTAAAGGCTTAAAAAAAAGCATATATTCTAACTAAAACCAACTGGGAAAAAAATACGACATAAAACAGTCAAATTAATATTCAGAATATGGCACTGGGATTTTATGACGTTTTTATGTGAAAATTCTTTTCAAACTCTTCATTTATCTAAGAGTAGCAAGGAAACAGAACAAAAGAAATATTGTAACTGCTTTGGGGACTTTTTACCACTACCTTTCTGAAACACACAATCTAATTCATGGCCATTTTGTGCCAAGAAAGTTATTTTTTTCCCCTCAAAATATAATTTAAAATACTCTTTAAATTTAACTCAATATCAATTTGAGATAAATTGATGTTTAACTGCATTATTAAACTATAACCTTTAAGCTCTCAAAGAAAATATTTTTAAATACCTCTGAATATACAAAGAAATAACTATTTGGATTACTTGAAATGCTAAATTATAAAAAAGTAAAGAAAGCCTTAAAAAAAATAAGTAGCAACTTTTAAGAGTATTTAAGTTAAAATGGTACTCTTCGGGGCCCTGTTAGGAAAACTGCCTAATTCCCTCCCTCCCTACTATGGGGAAGGGTTGAAGACATAGTGGCAAATGCATACTCTAGCCTCACTATTGCTTCTCTGAACGTGTGCAGTGGTAGGCTCAGGAACAAAGAATGTGTAACCTGATCTCTTTTCCTTCTCTCCTTCACAGCAACTTTTAGAAAGTAATTTAACCTCCCAAAATGGCATCTTTGTGCTGCTTAGGGGAAAAAGATCTATTCACTGTTACAGCGTTAGGAAAAAAAAAAAACAAATCACTTTTTAAATATGGTTTTTGCTTAACATAGTGATATTTTTGTCAAACACTGAGTACTTAGACAAGCCAATTATAAATGAATCACTATCTGAGTAAAATGTCTACTAACCAAGATTTTAAATGTAGCTCAGGATTTAAGAAAAATCAGTCTTACTAATGCAAGGTAGACTTAGTATTTATTTTGCTTCTACAACACATATAGTATAGCTCCAAATAAGTCTACAGAAAAAAAAAAATAAAGATTAAAAATTATCTAGATAGGCCAGGAGTGGTGGCTCACCCCTATAATCCCAGCACTTTGGGAGGCAGAAGCAGGCAGATCACCTGAGGTCGGGAGTTCAAGACCAGCCTGACCAACATGGAGAAACCCCATCTCTACTAAAAATACAAAATTAGCTAGTTGTGGTGGTGCATGCCTGTAATCCCAGCTACTCGGGAGGCTGAGGCAGGAGAACTGCTTGAACCAAGGAGGTGGAGTGTGCGGTGAGTCAAGATGGCACCATTGCACTCCATCCTGGGAAACAAGAGCGAAACTCTCTATCTAAAAAAAAAAAACTATATCTATATCTATATATCTATATCTATAGATATAGATATAGATAAATTTGAATTTTAAATCCTAGTGACTATACGAATCACAGAAGTCATTACTTTTAATTCTCATATTATCTTTTCATTTACCATAATTTAATAAAGGAAATATGTGAATCTGAAAATCTGGAAAGGAATAGAAACCTAAAAATAGTTGCTAGGCAGGTATCAAAGAATGTACTGAACGTTCTCACCTTTGACAAAAATCTTAAAAGCCATTCTAAAATTAATACCAACAAAATGTTATATACTTTTTATACATTTCAAAAGGCACTCTAACTTGATGACTTAATTTGATCTTCACAACAACCTTGTGAGTTAGGTGATCACATATTTGCTTATTTGAGACAGACACAAAAAGATTGGTAGAAATCTCTTGCCTCCCATCTAGAACCCTAAACTATTACTTTATTTCAGTACATACAGACAAGCATTACTATCTTGATTTCACCAAAGAAGAAACAAGTACAGAGAAGAAACTTGCCTAACGTCACAGTGCTGCTACACAGCAGAACAAGATTCAGGCCAGGACCAATCCAAGCCTCACCTCTAACCACAACTGTCATAAAAAAAAAATAGATAAAATTAACAGTTCAAAATTATGTAGCTGACTAAAAACCAACTGTGGTAGCAGGATAATGGCCCCTGCAGACATTCACATCCTAATCCCTGTAACCTATGAATATGTTATTTAAATGGCAAAAGGGACTTTGCAGATGTGTGACTAAGGGTCCAAAACCTGAGATGGGGCGATTATCCTGGATGAGCTTGTTGGGACCAATCTACTCACATGGTCCTTAAAAGCAGAGAACTTCTCCCAAGTACGGTGGGAAAGAGATGACAGGAGGTCAGAGCCATGTCACCTTGCTGACTGTGAAGGTGAACAGGAAGGGGAGCCTGATCCAGGAATGCAGCCAGCCTCTAGAGGCTGTAAGAGGCACAGAATCCATACTTCCTTAGAACTTCCCGAAAGGAACACGGCCCTGTAGACACCTGCATCTTAGCCTAGTGAGACCTGTGTTGGACTTCTGACCTGCAGAACCATAAGATAATAAATTTGTGCTCTATAAACCACTAAAAGTATGGTAATTTGTTACAGTAACAACAGAAAATATACCAACTACACTACATAATTGACACTGTCTTACACCATCTAAAAAAACTATCTGTCAGGCCTGGCGCAGTGGCTCACCTGTAATCCCAGCACTTTGGGAGGCCGAGGCAGGCAGATCACCTGAGACCAGCCTGATCAATATGATGAAACCCTGTCTCTACTAAAAATACAAAAATTAGCTAGGCGTGGTGGCATGCACCTGTAATCCCAGCTACTCGGGAGGCTGAGACAGGAGAATCGCTTGAATCCGGGAGGCAGAGGTTGCAGAGAGCCGAGATCACGCCATTGCACTCCAGCCTGGGCAACAACAGCGAAACTCCATCTCAAAAAAAAAAAAAAACTGTCAGTGAGCAAGCGTGTCATCAGAAATCCTGTCTCCAGTACAGATGAAATAAAAATACAGGTACCCTTCCCTATACAACTCAATGTGATCTTACTGCTTAATGATATTCTGGCCCAATGCTATACTTTTTAATTCTTCTTCCTCTTCTCCTAACAAGTCAACTGTAAATACAAAGCCCTGAAATTCCGAAACATAAATCCAGCTAACTTTCTTTTTTGCCTTGTCCACACCACCATGTGTGTGTGGGGTGGCGGGGGGTGGGGGGGGGTATAGATCAGGAGGATGAAAAAAGGACACATAGTAGCTAGAGAAGACTGCATTAAGGCAGAAGACTTACCAGAAAGAAACAAAGCAGTGGGCTATTAAACAGAATGTGAATCACTGAACAGAGTATTTGCCAAGAAGCTGCACTAGACATAATAATAAATTACTCCTTGATATAGGTGCTATTATTATCCCATTTATATATAGGGAAACAGAGCACAGAACAGCAATATAATTTAGCAAGGTCACTGTAATATCAACCTTAAATCTCTTCAACAGAATCCAAATACAATTGTGATCTGATACCCATCATGATCCATTTTAAAGTGAAATTTTCACAGCATATTTTCCTCCTTGAATTCATATTTCCAGTACATTTGCCCTGCATATAGTAATTGCTAATGCTTGGAAGTCTTATTAGTCACTCAGTCATACATGTCTGAAGTTCTGTTTGTTTGTTTGTTTTATAGAGACAGATTCTCCCTATGTTGCCCTGGTTGGTTTCAAACTCCTGGACTCAAGCAATCCTCCTGCCTTGGCCTCCCAAAGTGATGGGATTACAGGTTTGAGCCACTGCACCCAGCCTGTCTGATGTTTAAATGAAAAACATTTTAAATTTCCTGACCATAAAGAAGCTTCTAAGTGTTTAAAAAATTATTTTGAATTCAATTACCATTATAATTTTTAGCAGTATGCAATTCATTTAAATGGCAAACATTAAAGATCTGACAGTAGGCCAGGCATGCTGGCTCATGCCTGTAATCCCAGCACTCTGGGAAGCTGAGGCAAGCGGACCACAATGTCAGGAGATCAAGACCATCCTGGCTAACATGGTGAAACCCATCTCTACTAAAAATACAAAAATTAGCTAGGCATGGTGGCGTGTGCCCGTAATCCCAGCTACTCGGGAGGCTGAGGTAGGAGAATTGCTTGAACCAGGGAGTTGGAGGTTGCAGTGAGCAGAGATCATGCCACAGCACTCCAGCCTAGCAACAGAGTAAGAGTCCATCTAAAAAAAAAAAAAAAAAAAAAAAAGATCTGACAGTAATTAACAACATTAAAGGTAAAAATTCTACTGGAGGCTGGGAACAGTGGCTCACGCCTATAATCCCAGCACTTCCGGGAGGCCAAAGCAGGCGATCACTTGAGGTCAGGAGTTTGAGACCAGCCTGGCCAACGTGGTGAAACCCCCATCTCTAGCAAAAAAAAAAAAGCCAGGCATGGTGGCACACATCTGTAGTCCCAGCTACTCGGGAAGGCTGACATGGGAGAAATGCTTGAACCCAGGGGCAGAGGTTGCAGTGAGCCAAAATAGTGCACCACTGCACTCCAGCCTGGGCAACAGAGCAAGAGGGAGGGAGGGAGGGAAGGAAGGAAGGAAGGAAGGGAGGGAGGGAGGGAGGGAGGGAGGAAGGAAGTAAAGAAGGAAAGAAAAATTACTGGAAATGTACGTCTCTTAATGAGATGGACAGGGCTTTTTTTTTTTCTTCATTAGTTCATGTATCTCTTTGAATAATTATTGCTAAAATCAGACATCACTTAGTGAATTTCTACTTTTCTGTGCGTGTGTTTCAAGAAAGCACTGAGGGCTGGGTGCGGTGGCTCACGCCTGTAATCCCAGCACTTTGGGAGGCCGAGGCGGGGACATCACGAGGTGAGGAGATTGAGACCAGCCTGGCCAACATGGTGAAACCCCGTCTCTACTAAAAATACAAAAAATTAGCCAGGCATGGTGGCACGTGCCTGTAGTCCCAGCTACTCAAGAGGCTGAGGCAGAAGAATTGCTTGAACCCAGGAGGCGGAGCTTGCAGTGAGCCGAGATCGCACCACTGCACTCCAGCCTGGGAAACAGAGCGAGACTTTGTCTCAAAAAAAAAAAAAAAGCAAGCACTGAGAAGGCTTGCTCATATAAACAGGTGATGGAAATAAAAGGAATTCTGTCAGTTGGGTCACATGACTTTTAAAATTTCTTCTGAGTTATCTGTTGAAAATTACATAGTTGTTTTCCACCAGAAATATTTTAAATGATTTAGTAGCTAACACATTTATTATTTGTAAATATTGGAATTGATCCTTCAATTTTGTTAGAAGTGGAAAACTGAAAAACCATGAAAGGATTTGTTCTCCAAAGGCTATGGCCATTCATTTTCTTAACACTAAAACCAATATTTGGAATCACCACTTTGGGGGCCCCTGAGGCTTTATTCCATTCTTTGGAGATATAATTGACGTATAATAAAATTCACTCTTTTAAAGTGTGCAGTTCAGTAGCTATCGGCATATTCACAAAGTTGTGCAACCATCAACACTAATTCCAGTACATTTTTATCACTAATCTACTTTCTCTGTGGACTTACCTTTTCCGGACCTTTCATAAAAATAAGAATAATACAACATACGATATTTTGTGACTGACTTCTTTCAACCTGCATTAATGTTTTCAAAATTCATCTATGTTGTAAAATGAGTGAGTACTTCATTTCTTTTCATGGGTGAGTAATATTCCATTGCCTAGACAGACCACATTTTGTTTATCTATTTATCGGTTGGACATTTGGGTTGTTTCCTCCTATTATGAATAATGCTGCTGTAAACTTTCATGCACAAATTTTTGTGTGAACATGTTTTTAATGCTTTTGGATATATATCTAGGAGTGGAACTGCTGGATCATATGGAAACTCAACATTTAGCTTTTTGAGGAACTGCTAATCTGTTTCCAGACCAGCTGCACGATTTTATATTCCCACAAATAGTGTCTGGAGGTTCCCATTTCTCCATATCCTTACCAGCATTTGTTATTATCTATCTTTTTGATTATAGACATCCTAGTGGGTAAGAAGCAGAATCTCATTGTGGTTTTGATATATATATATATATATATATATATATATATATATATATATATATATTTTTTTTTTTTTTTTTTTTTTTTTTTGGAGACAGAGTCTCGCTCTGTCGTCCAGGCTGGAGTGCAGTGGCAGTGGCAAGATCTCGGCTCACTGCAAGCTCTGCCTCCTGGGTTCACGCCATTCTCCTGCTTCAGCCTCTTGAGTAGCTGGGACTACAGGAACCTGCCACCACGCCCGGCTAATTTTTTGTATTTTTAGTGGAGACGGGGTTTCGCTGTGTTAGCCAGGATGGTCTCGATCTCCTGACCTCATGATCTGCCCTCCTCGGCCTCCCAAAGTGCTAGGATTACAGGCGTGAGCCACCGTGCCCAGCCTTTGATTTATATTTCTAATGACTAACGACATTATTTTCATGAGCTTATGTAGCCATTTGTACATCTTCTTTGGAGTAATGTCTATCTGAATCCTTTGCCTGTTTTTAAATTAGATTTTTGGTTTTCTAAGTTAGTTACGTGTTTGTTTGTTTTTTTTTTCTAAGACAGAGTTTTCACTCTGTCACCCAGGATGGAGTGCAGTGGCATGATTTTGGCTCACTGCAACCTCTGCCTTCCAGGTTCAAGCAATTCTCCTACCTCAGCCTCCCAAGCAGCTGGGATTATAGGTGCCCACCATCACACCCAGCTAATTTTTGTATTTCTAGCAGAGATGGCGTTTCACCATGTTGGCCAGGCTGGTCTCGAACTCCTGACCTCAAGTGATCCGCCCACCTCAGTCTCCCAAAGTGCTGGAATTACAGGTGTGAGCCACGGCGCCCAGCCAGTTATGTGTTCTTTATGTATTCTAGACACAAGCTGCTTATCAAATATATTTTACAGTATTTTCTCCCATTCTATGGCTTGTTTTCTCACTCGACAGCGTCCTTTTATGCACACAGGTTTTTAATTTTGATAAAGTTTAATTTATCTACTTTTTTCTGATTGCTTGTGCTTTGTTGTCATATTGAAGAAATCACTGCCTAATCCAAGGTCACCAAGATTTATACCTATGTTTTCTTCTAAGATTTTTATGGTTTTAGCTCTTACATTTAGGTTTTTGATTCATTTTGAGTTGATTTTTGTTTATGGTATGAGGTAAAGGTCTAATTGCATTCTTTTGCAACTGAATATCTAATTCTTCCAGCACTATTCCATTGGTGTCTTAGAATTGTCCTGACACCCTTTTCATCCCTGAGGTTTTCCCACTACAAGGCAAGTGCATCATGGTAAGAGAAGGGTCAGAGGAAGAGTTATGCCATTTTTTTTAATAATGGAAAAAGCCATGGTGGAAAGGAATTTGAAAACAGAACTGGGCGCAGTGGCTCACAACTGTAATCCCAGCACTTTGGGAGACTGAGGTGGGTGAATCGCCTAAGGTCAGGAGTTCGAGACCAGCCTGGCCAATATGATGAAACCCTATCTCTACTAAAAATACAAAAATAAGCCGGGCATGGTGCAGGCACCTGTAATCCCAGCTACTCAGGAGGCTGAAGCAGGAGAGTCGCGTGAACCCAGGAGGCGGAGGTTACAGTGAGCCGAGATCACACTATTGCAACTCCAACCTGGGTGACAAGAGCCAAACTCCACATCAAAAAATAAAAAGGGAAGAACCGCTTGAACACTGGTTCAAAGGAAGAAATGCTTCAAAAAAGAGACATTTAAAGTTTAGGATTTGGAAATTGATTCAGGTAAAATTATCCATGTGCTTGTGCACCTCTAGGAGTCTGTTTCCACTCCAGCCCTAAGACCAATGTCTGGACACTGCTTTACACTACTGCCCCCTAAACTTAGGGTATGGGGGGCATCATTTGGGAACAATTTTTTATATTTCAATTGTGTAAATAATAAAATGAGACAGGACTCAGCATGAAGTTGATGAAAAGAGAAAGCCTATAGGTTTTTCTGCCTACACCACTTAGCCAAATAGAAAAGTTCATTTCCATCCTGTTTTACATGAAACATTTGATTCAATGTATGCTCTAACGGAATGGGCCTCTTTTTTAAATTTTAAAAAGCATTAAGAAATTTTGCCTTGGGTTTACTAGCTTACTCACCTTATCCCTAATTCCCTTGAAACAAACCCTAGTTAGATTAGGAATATAGTATGCCATCACTGCATAGAAATTTTAAGATCAAACCGCTGAGCCCACAGTACTTCCCTTTTCCCTAAAATATGTATTTAGTCAAATTCTCTTCCTCTATGGTTGAACCAATTTATGATACTGACTGACATGGCTTGGCTCTGTGTTCCCACCCAAATCTCATGTTGAACTGTGATCCTGAGTGTTAGAGGTGGGGCCTGCTGGGAGATGATTGGATTATGGGGGGGGGCAGATTTCCCCCTTGCTGTACTCATGATAGTGAGTTCTCAAGAGATCTGGAAGCATGTGGCATTCCCCTCTTTGCTGTCTCTCCTGCTGTCATGTGAAGATAGGCCTGCTTCCTCTTCCCCTTCTGCCATGATTGTAAGTTTCCTGAGGCCTCTCCAGCCATGCCTCCTGTATAGCCTGCATTACTGTGAGTCCATTAATTCTCTTTTCTTTATAAACTACCCAGTCTTTGGTATTTCTTTGTATCAATGTGAGAATCGACTAATACACTGACCAAACAAGACATGCTATTTCCTCATATTACATACTTCTGTCAGTTTAATAGGTGAGCATTATAGCCTTAGGGTTATCTTATTTCCCATGTCTTTAACTGGGATTAAATACAGACAGCATTTGTGCATGTGATGATTTTACTATTTCTGCCTTTTACTCCCAATCTAATTACTTACCCTACAAATAGATCTTTTATTTTAGACAGAAACTTCCATTAGTTTGGTCATATATTTCATACTCCATTGTTACTTTCCGTGTTAAATTTACTTTATTGCTTTTTACTATGTAAATTTTACTTATTTTTCAAACTAAAATCCAAGTATCCAAACAGTAATTAGTGACCCCTTTCTTTACTGGTGTGTTGTTCCTGGTCTATTAAATGCTAAATTTAAAGTTTGTTTCTGTGCTCTTATGCAACTTATTTAGTTCTTTTTTAAAAAATCCATTGATTATCATTGATTGTACTTTATAAGAGTGTGCTCTCAATTGATATAACACATGTTTTAAAGGGGCATGAAATCTATAATGCAAACATTAGATGGCAATTTCACTTAAATCCTTGATATTATTCTCAGAACAATAAAGATGACAATTCAAACAATTAAAAATATATTATTCAATACTGTTAAGAAACTAGCTAGCCGCCTGATTAAAAATAAATAAAAAGCCCTATCTCATGCTTTAGACCAAAAATAATCTGTAGACTGATGTTAAAGCAGAAGAAAATAGATTTGGTTTTGGTTTTGAATTTTCTTGGACAAAAAGAGCCATTCTAAGCATGGCCCATTAAGTTACTGGAGGAAGAATAAGTTCCCTTTAGAGAAAGCTGCATTTCATTTGCCTATTAGACATCCAGGTGGAACATAAGTCTGCATTTCAAAGAAGCGGCTCAGGCTGGAGATTTAAAATTTGGACTTCCGTCAAACTTTAAAACAAAGAGGGTTTCAAAGCCAGTGGGTCAAATAAGATCAACAAGGAAATGAGCATAGTTAAAACAGAGGTCTAAGGACTGAGCCCTGGAGGGACTCTGTGACAAAAGACTGAGATGGGGAATTTCTTTGTATGCTATCCTGGAAGCCAAGTGAACAAAGTGTTTCAACGAGCAGGAAATAAGTAATCACCAGTGTCAAATACTGTTACTAGGTCAAATAATTCAAGGATGAGAAAGGTAGGGTCAGAGCTGACCTCGCAAGAGCAGTGCAAGAAACAGGGTGCTGGGAGGGAAAGCCTCCTGAAATATCAGGAGGAGAAAAATTGGAAACAAAGTGCAGATACTTCTTTTAGGGAAAAAAGGGGTCGGGGTGGGAAATGAACAACGGTTAGAAGGAAAAATGGAGTTCAGAGAAGTTTTGTTGTGTTTTAAGATGAGAGAAACAACAGTATGTTGTTGTGGAGGAGAATGACCCTGCAGAGTGTAGAGGCAAGGGCTGAGTGAGCACAGTGCAGGTTTTGGCCCTGGCTAGAAGCATGGTCAGTTCATTCCGTAATAATTGAGGGATGTGAGAATACATGAAGCACAGACACAGGCAGTAGTGGCAGGAGCTTTGCAGATATTTTTCTTGTGGTATCTGTTTTCTCAACAAAATGAAAAGCAAAGTTGTGTGCTAAAGACGGTGAAAGTGACGTTGAAGGATTGAGAAGGAGCAGGTCTAAATGATCATTTAGGTCACACTGGGAGAATAAATGAACTAGGAACTACTGCTGTGCAGTTTTAAGGACTCTCCTGAACTTAGTGGTAATTAGTGGTAAGGCCAATCAGCCAAGTTAATTCTCCAGCCAAGCGCAGCTGTAAAGGTGCAAGTGCAGAACCAGAGCACCCAAATATAACAAGGCAAACACTGACAGAATTGAAAGAAAAAACAGACAGTAACCCAGTAACAGCAGGAGATTTCAGTATCCCCACTTTCAATAATGGACAGAACCACCGGAGAGCGGATCAATGAGGAGACACAGAATTTGAACACTGGAGAGTAACTGGAACTAACGGACACATAAAGAACACTATACCCGGCCGGGCGCAGTGGCTCACGCCTATAATCCCAGCTTTGGGAGGCCAAGTGGGCAGATCACCTGAGGTCAGGAGTTCGGGACCAGCCTGACCAAATTGGAGAAACCCTGTCTCTACTAAAAATACAAAATTAGCTAGATGTGGTGGCACATGCCTATAATCCCAGCTACTCGGGAAGGTGAGGCAGGAGAATCACTTGAACCCAGGAGGCGCAGATTGCGGTGGGCTGAGTTCCCACCACTGCACTGCAGCCTGGGCAACAAGAGCGGAAACTCCATCTCAAAAACAAACAAACAAAAAAACACTACACCCAACACTAGCTGAATACACATTTTCTCAAGTACACATGCAACATTCTCCAAGACAGATCACATGTTAGGCCACAGAACAAGTCTTAGCAAATTTAAGAAGACTGAAATCATAGCAAGTATCTTTTCTGACCACAATGGGAAATCAAAAGCAGTAGGAAAACTAAAAAATTCACAAATATTTAACACACTTTTGAAAAACTAATGACTCAAAGAAGAAATCACAAGGCAGTTTAGAAAACATCTTGAGACAAATGAAGAAGAAAACAGAACATTCCAAAACTTAAGGGATACAGAAAAGCCGTGCTAAGAGGGAAGTTTATAGCAGTAAATGCCTACATTTAAAAAGATCTTAAATAAGATCAATAAAATTGACAAATCCTTAGCCAGATTTAAGAAAAAAAAACAAGACTCAAATAATTAAAATCAGAAATGAAAGAGGGGACATTACAACAAATGCCACAGAAATGAAAAGGATAAGAGACTACTATGAACGATCACATGCCAACAATTTAGACAACCTAGAAGAAATGGATGAATTATTAGAAACACACAACCTGCCAGGACTGAATCACGAAGAAACAGAAAATCTTAACAAACCTATAACTAGTAAGGAAACTGACTCAGTAATTTTAAAAACTTCCCAACAACAAAAAAAGCCCAGGACCAGATAGCTTCACTGGGGAATTCTACCAAACGTTTAGAGAAAAATTAATACCAAACCTCCTCAAAGTCTCACCAAAAAAACTGAAGAAACACTTCTAAACTTTGATGCACATATTCTCAAAAAATGTTACCAAACCAAATTCAAAGGCATATTAAAATCATACACGATGACTGAGGGAGCCTTATTCCTAGGATGCAAGGATGGCTCAACACACAAAAATCAGTAAATGTAATACACCACATTAACCGAATGAAGGACAAAAATCATGTAACAATCTGAACTGGTGCAGAAAAAGCATCTGACAAAATTCAACACCTTTCATGATAAAAACACTCAACAAACTAGGAAGGAATAGAAGGAAATTACCTGAACATAATAAAGACCATACATAAAAAGTCCACAGCAAACATTACAATGGTGAAAAACTGAAAGCTTTCCCTCTAAGATCAGGAACAAGACTAGGAAGTCCACTCTCACCACTTCTACTCAACACAGTACAATCAGAAAAAGGAGGCAAGAAAAAAAGGCATCCAAATTGGAAAGGAAGAAGTAAAATTATCTCCATTCACAGAAGACATGATTTTATACATGAAAAACCCTAAGGGTTTCACAAAAAAACTGTTAGAACTATTATAATAAACTAAGCAAAGCAGGAGGATACAAAGTCAACACACAAAAATAAGTTGCATTTCTATACATTAACAATAAACAACACAAAAAGGAAATTAAGAAAATAACTCCATTTATAATAACATCAAAATGAATAATACTTAAGAATAAGGCCAGCACAGTGGCTCACACCTGTAATTCCAGCACTTCGAGACCAGCTTGGGCAAGATGGCAAGACCCCATCTGTACAAAAAATTTAAAAGTTAGCTGGTCATGGTGATGCAGGCCTGTAGTCCCAGCTACGCGGAAGGCTGAGGCAGGAGGATCTCTTGAGCCCAGCAGTGGGAGGTGGCAGTGAGCCATGATCACGCCACTGCACTCCAACCTGGGTGACAGAACGAGATCCCGTTTCTAAAAAAATAAAGTAAAACTAAAATAAAATACTTAAAAATAAACGTCAAGGAGGCAAAAGACTTGTACACTAAAAATGACAAAAAACTGAGGAAAAAATTAAACACACAAATGGGAAAGACATCTCATGTTCAAGGACTGGAAGACCTTATATTGTTAAAATGTACATACTATCCAAAGTAATCTACTGATTCAATGCAATCTCTATCAAATTTCAGTGTCATTTTTTGCAAAATGAGAAAAAGCCATCCTGAAATCAGTAAGTAATCTCAAAGGACCCCAAATAGCCAAAACAACCTTGATTAAGAACAAAACTGTAGGCTTCACACTTTCTGATTTCAAAACTTGTTACAAAGCTACAGTGATCAAAATAGTACTAGCATACAGACATGTAAACCAATGGAACAGAACAGACAGCCCAGATATAAACCCCTGTGTATGTGGTCAAATGATGAGCCAAGACTACGCAATGGGGAAAGAATAATCTCTTCAACAAATAGTGCTGGAAAAACTGGATGTCCACATGCAACAGAATGAAGATGGATCCTTATCTTAAACCATAAATAAAAAATAACTAAAAATTGATTAAAGACCTAAACATAAGACCTGAAACCATAAAACTAGAAGGAAACATAGAGAAGCTTCATGATACTGAATTTGGCAATGATTTCTTGGCTGCAAAACAAAAAGCACAGGCAACAAAGGCAAAAATAGACACAGAATTACATCAAACTTACAAACTTCTGTGCAGCAAGGCAAGCAATCAACCAAAACCAGAATGAAACCAAGGAAGAGTGAAAAGGCAACCTACAGAATGAGAGAAAATATTTGCAAATCATGTATTGGATAGGGGTTTAATATCCAGAATAAAAAAAAAACTCCTACAACTCAGTAACAAAACAAAAACCACAAATAACACAACTTTAAAATGAGCTAAGGACTTGAATAGACATTTTTACAAAGAAGATACATAAATGGCCAAAAAAAATATGAAAAGCTACTCAACATCACTAATCATCGGCAAAACTCACATCAAATCACACTGAGGTATCACCTCACACCAGTTAAAATTACCTCTATCAAAAAAAAACAAAAAACAAAAAAACAGAAAACCAAGTGTTGGCAAGGATGTGGAGGAATTAGAACTCCTGTGCATTGTTGGTGGGACTATAAAACAGTACAATCACTATGAAAAACAGTATGGACGTTCCTCAAAAAATTTAAAATGGAATACCAGATGATCCAGAAATCCCACTTCTCAGTATATATCTAAAAAAATTGAAAACAGGATCTCGAAGAGATATTTACATACTCTTGTCCACTGCAGCACTATTCACTACAATAGCCAAAACGTGTAATTAACTTGTGTCTCTCAACAGATAAATGGATCAACAAATGTGGTACATATACACAACTGGATATTATTCAGCCCTAAAGAAATCCTGGACCTGGCATGATGGCTCACACCTGTAATCCCAGCACTTTGGGAGGCCGAGGCGGGAGGATCACCTGAGGTCAGGAGTTCAAGACCAGGCTGACCAACGTAGTGAAACCCCGTCTCTACCAAAAATACAAAAATTAGGCGTGGTGGCTCATGCCTGTAATCCCAGCTACTTAGGAGGCTGAGGCAGAAGAATCACTTGAACCTGGGAGGCGGGGGTTGCAGTGAGCCCAGATCGCGCCACTGCACTCCAGCCTGCCTGGGTGACAGAGTGAGACTCCATCTCAAAAAAAAAAAAAAAAAAAAAAAGAAATCCTGTCATATGCTACAAAATGGATGAACCATGGGGACTTTATGCTAAGTGAAATACGCCAATCATAAAACAACAAGTACTGCATAATTCCACTTACATGAGGTATCTTAAATAATCAAACTCATAGAGACAGAAAGTAAAATGGTAGACTGGTGGTTGCCAGGAGCTGAAGGGAGAGGGAAATAGGGAGTTGCTCTAAAGTACAGAGTTTCAGTCAGGCAAGATGAGAAAGTGCCAGAAATACTACACAAAGCAATCTACAGATCCAATGCAATCCCTATCAAAATACCAATGACATTCTTCACGGAAAAACAAATCCTAAAATTTGTACAGAACCACAAAAGCCCCCGAATAACCAAAGCAACCCTGAGCAAAAAGTTGGAGGTATCACAATACAACACCTGAAAATATACTACAAGGCTGTAGTAACCAAAACAGCATGGTGCAGCATTAAAAACAGATACATACACTAATGGAACAAAACAGAGAACCCAGAAATTAATCTACCTATCTACAGCCAGCGGATTTCTCACAAAAGTGCCAAAAACACTCATTGGGAAAAAGACAGTCTCTTCAATAAATGGTGCTGGGAAAAATGGATATCCATATGCAGAAGAATAAAAGCAGACGCCCAACACTCACCCTATACAAAAATCAACTCAAAAGAAATCAAAGACCTAAGTGTAAGATTCGAAATGAGAGCCGGGCATGGTGTCTCACGCCTGTAATCCCAGTACTTTGCGAGGCCAAGGCGGGCGGATCACCAGGTCAAGAGTTCGAGACCAGCTTGACCAACATGGTGATACTGTTAGGGATATATTAGATTAAAGAAATATATTAAAACTGATTTTGGCCAGGCACGGTGGCTCACACCTGTAATCCCAGCACTGTGGGAGGATTGCTTGAGCCCAAGTAGCTTGAGACCAGCCTGGGCAACGTGGTGAGACCTTGTCTCAATTGAAAAAACAAAACTGATTTCACACGATTATTTTTACTTTTTTAATGTGGCAACTAGAAAGTTTAAAATTACATGTCATATTGGACAGTACTGCCTTTGACTTTCCTTTCCCTGGTTCTTTGCCCATCAGAATGCTTTAAATCTATTATAAATCCTTAGCCAGGCGTGGTGGCTCACGCTCACGCCTGTAATCCCAGCACTTTGGGAGGCGGAGGCAGGAGGATCATGAGGTCAGGAACTCGAGACCAGCCTGACCAACATGGTGAAACCCCGTCTCCACTAAAAATACAAAAATTAGCCGGGCGTGGTGGTGCACGCCTGTAATCCCAGCTACTCGGGAGGCTGAGGCAGGAGAATTGCTTGAACCTGGGAGGCGGAGGTTGCAGTGAGCCGAGATCGTGCCACTGCACTCCAGCCTGAGCGACAGAGCAAGACTCCGTCTCAAAAAAAAAAGATTTGAAATGATAAAAACCACTGTAAGAAAACATAGGGGAAACATTTTAGGACACTGGTCTGGGAAAATATTTTATGGGTAAAACCTCAAAAACACAGGCATCAAAAGCAAAAATAAACAAATGGGATTATATTAAACTAAAAAGCTACTGCACAGCAAAAGAACCCATTAACATCATGAAGAGACGAGCTACAGAAAGTGAGAAAATATTTGCAAACTACTCATCCAACAGGGGATTAATATACAGAATATACAAGTAACTCAAACATCTCAACAGCAAAACAAATCCAATTAAAAAATGGGCAAATGATCTGAACAGACACATTTCTCAAAAGAAGAAAAATGGCCAAAAAACAAATGAAATAGGCCAGGTGCTATTACCAGGGGCTCATGCCTGTAATCCCAGCGTTCGGGAGGCCAAGGTGGGAGGATACCTTGAGGCCAGGAGTTCAAGGTTATAATGAGTTAGGATCGCACTACTGCATTCTGGCCTGGGTGACAAGGAGATCCTGTCTCTTTCACAAAACAAAAACAAAGAAGGGCAGAGCATGGTGGCTCACACCTGTAGTCCCAGCACTTTGGGAGGCTGATGCTGAAAGATCGCTGAAGGCCAGGAATTTGAGACAAGCCTGGGCAACATAGCGAGACCCAATCTCTCCAAAAAACTCTTAAAAATTAGCTGGGCCCATTGGCACACATCTGTAGTCCCAGCTACTCAGGAAGTTGAGGTAGGAGGATTGCCTAAGCCCAGGAGGTTGAGCTTAGAGTGGACAGTGATCAGGCCACAGCATTCCAGCCTGGGCAACAGAGCAAGATTCTGTCTAAATAAATAAATAAAGCTCAACAGCACTAATCATCAGGGAAATGCAAATCAAAACCACAACTCTAACCCCAGTTAAAACGGCTATTATCAAAAAGAATGGCCAATATCCAGAATATACAAGTAACTCAAACATCTCAACAGGAAAAAGATAAACAATCCAATTAAAAATGGGCAAATGGGCAAACGGGGAAAAAGATAAACAATTCAATTTAAAAAGTAACAAGTGCTGACAAGGACAGGAGAAAAGGGAACACTTACACTTTATTGGTGGGAATACAAACTAGTACAGCCACAAGACAGAACAGTACAGAGTTTCCTCAAATAACTACAAACAGAATTACCATATGATCCAGCATTCCACTACTAGGAATTTATCCAGAGGAAAGGAAATCATTCTGTTGAAGGCACATCTGCATCCCCATGTTTACTGCTATTCAAACAGCCTAGATATGGGTTAGACAAACGGGACATCTAATAACAGAGGAATGGATAAAGAAAATATGGTATACATACACAGTGGAATACTCCTCAGTCATAAAAAATAAAATCTGGGCTGAGTATGGTGACTGATGCCTGTAATCCCAGCCCTTTGGCAGGCTGAGAGGAATGGATCACTTGAAGTCAGGAGTTCAAGATCAGACTGGCCAACATGGTGAAACCCCATCTCTACTTAAAAAAAAAAAAAAAAAAAGAAAATACATAAATAAAATCCACTCATTCACAGCAATATGGATGGAACTGGAAGACATTATATTAAATGAAATAAGCCAGGAACAGAAAGTTAATCACCACATGTTCTCACTCATGTGGAAACTAAAAAACTTATAAGTAAAACACAGAACAGAGGATAGGAAGGGTAGAGGAAAGGGAGGGACAGGGAGAAATTTGTTAAAGGATACAAAATTACAGCAAGACAGGAGGAATAAATTCTAGTACTTTATCCTTTATCCTACGGTAGGAAGGCTATAGTGAACAATAATATACAGTTTCAAATAGCTAGAAGGAGAATATCAAACGTTCCGAACAAAAAGAAATTATAAATGTTTAAGATGATGGATATGCTAATTATCCTGATCTGATCACTGTACAGTAGGGGTATCCAATCTTTTGGCTTCCCTGGGCCACGATGGAAGAAGAAAAATTGTCTTGGACCACACATAAAATACACTAGCGGCAGGGCAGGCACGGTGGCTCACATCTGTAATCCAGCACTTTGGGAGGCCAAGGCAAGCAGACTGCTTGAGCTCAGGAGTTTGGGAATGGCCTGGACAACATGGTGAGACCCCATTTCTATTAAAAATTATGTATTTTTTAAATAAAAAAATTAAATAAAACAACAACAAGAAAATCCACTAATGATAGCTGATGAGCTACCAAAAAAAAAAATTGCAAAAAAAATCTCATGTTTTAAGAAAGTTTAGGAATTTGTGTTGGTCTGTATTCGAAGCTATCCTGGGCCACATGTAGCCCATGAGCCATGAGTTGGACAAGCCTGTCATGCATTATATGTATCAAAACATCACTACATACCCCATAAATATGTACATTTATGTCAACATTATGTACCCCCTAAATACGTACATTTGTCAATTTAATTTTTTTTTTTTTTTTGAGTTTCGCTCTTGTTACCCAGGCTGGAGTGCAATGGCACCATCTTGACTCACTGCAACCTCTGCCTCCTGGGTTCAAGCAATTCTCCTGCCTCAGCATCCCCGGTAGATGAGATTACATGCATGCACCACCATGCCTGGCTAATTTTGTATTTTTAGTAGAGACGGGGTTTCTCCATGTTGGTCAGCCTGGTCTCAAACTCCCAACCTCAGGTGATCCACCTGCCTCAGCCTTCCAAAGTGCTGGGATTACAGGCATGAGCCACTGCGCCTGGCCTAAAAATAAAATTTTTAAAAGCTTGTAACTGCAGAGAACAAAAAAAAAGTTCTAGAGATCTGTTGTATAAAATAATGAACAATATTGTAACACTGTGATGTATACTTAATAATTGTTAAGAGGGTAAATACATGTTCTTTTTTTTTTCTTTTGAGACAGGGTCAGGCTCAGTCACCCACTGGAGTACAGTGGTGCAATGACAGCTCACTGCAACCTAAACCTCATCAGGCTCAAGTGATCCTCCCACTTTAGCCTCCCAAGTAGCTGGAACTACGGGCATATGCCACCATGCCCAAATAACTTTTTAATTTTTTTGCAGACACAGTGTTTCACTATGTTGTCCACTCCGATCTCAAACTCCTGGGTTCAAGTAATCCTCCTGTCTGGGCCTTCCCAAAGTGCTGGGATTACAGGCATGAGCCACCGTGCCCAGTTGATATCCATTTTTCTAAACCACATTTTTAAAAAGTACAAGTGTAGAGTAGGCACAGTTGGATTTAACCAACTGCGGTTCTTAATAGAGAAACTGGGGTTTCTCTATTAAGCAATGAAGCAAGTGAGGGCAAGTGTACTGAGAATATTTGCAACTGAACAATCATGACCAACAACAGAAATTAAACTGAATAAAGAGAAGGGTAAGGACATAAGGAGAGAGTATGGTGAGGAACAGTGCAAAGATAATAGGGTCAATGGGTTCTAAGTCTCAGTGAGATAAAAGAATTGTTGGCACTAGAAGGCATGAGCCAGTAAAGTGGGAAGTGATGATCAGGGTAGAACTGAAATTATGGAAGGGGTTATAATTTTTTGTTATTATTGTATAACAGAACTGGGGTATGACCATGATAGCTGAGGTAGGGTGGAAACTTTGCAGGAAGTCAAGATATTAAGAGGCCAGGAAGGTAGTGGAAGAGTCTCCCACCTGGATGTTGAGATCAAGAACTAGAATAAAGAAGTACTAGAGAAAATGAGCCATATAAGACAAAATCTTCATTAAATGAGAAGGAAGTCAGTCAAGGTTCCATGGAAAACTACAAGATGTATCATGAGATTGAATATCATGTTTTCTATTTGATGTTAAGGAAGGTGGGAGGGAGAGTGATCTGGAAGTAGCAAAGGGGGTAAAGGATAACCCCTCCAGGCCCAAGGAAAGGGGGTCTGCAACAGAAAATTCCACTGCTTGAGTGGACTACAAAAAACAATCAGTGTCCTCCAGTGTGAACCAAGTTTCAACTGCAGAAGTTCTTATTCAGAAGCCCATGGCCTCACAAAATTCAAGAGGTTCATAACCTTAGATGTGAAAAAGATTACATTTTTATTTTCACTAACCGAACTTTGAATTTTTCTTTACTTATGAGAGTAGGCAGGATACACAGTAGTATTAGCAACACCTGTGACTTTGTAATAAAAACAAATCAGATATTCTCATCAAACTACTTGCTGCAGGCAACTCAAAGCATTATTTATGCTCATCAGCATCTAAAAATTAGGGCAGTTGTTATACTCACCCCTGGATTATTTAATAAGTTAATAAAAGAACAAACGTATTACTATATCTAAAAATGTTAATAGCTATATTTCAAAATAATTGTTTTCCTTCACAAGTCTTACGTATTTTACCCATTTAAAAACATTAGTCTAAGAAGGGGAACAGAGGCTGCTTAAAACATTTAAGAATCCTTAAGAACAAGAAGGCAAATAGAAAAAGAGAGACAATGGAAGGTGTCAGGAGTTGGAGAGCAGTGGGAGAGGACTGCCAAGGGAACAGACAGAGCTGCGGGGAAATGAACCCCAGGGTGAGCAGCCGAAAAGGAGGGAGATAGAGAAAATGTTAGGTGAAAAAGGCAAGCTGCAATGCACAATGCATGATGCCATCTGTACAAAGCACCAAAAAATGGATATGCATTTTTGTAAATGGAAAGAAAATCTTAGGAAGATACATACAGTAACAACACTGGTTACCAAGGAAAAGGAAACAGCACAGAGGGGAGAGCAAAGAGAGTAGGGAGGAAAGCAGTTTTCTGTATTGTTGCCATTGTTTACTGCAAGCTATTACATTAAAAAAAAAACTAGCTATTTTTAGAGGAATGCCTTTTCTGTTTTCCTTAGTATATCCTTTGGTATTTCTGCAGATTACTAAGGATTAGACCTCAGGTCTCCAGAAAACTCAGTGATACATTCTCTCAGGAAATGCTGTCCAAAAAATGAAACTTTCTATAGCAGGGTGAGATGGGCATCAGGGGGAATGAATTTTGCTCTCTGGGGCTGTCATGAAACCATCAGCCTTGTGTCCACCCTTCACAACATTTGACTTTCGTGTTGAGATAAGCAGGAAACTGAAAGCCTCATCTCCTGGAGTGCTCTCCTCATGACTCAAAGCATGTCTGGGACAAGAAACTGACAAGCAGGCCAAAGATTAATAGGCAGGTTTTATCAGATGTAACAGACAGTGACAGTACTTCTCACACGGCTATTGCTGGTGTACAGGAACCTATGTATGGATTTCCTCGTTTACCACGTGTAGAGCCAACTTACTGAACTCATTTATTAGTTTTCTCAGTTTGTCAATCGATTTTCTTGGCTTTTCTAGGTAGATTACATGCTTAGCAAAGAGCATAAACAAACAGTACACATTCTGACCTTCCCTTCAAATATTTACAACTTTTTCGCTTCAGCTTCTCTTAGTCCATTGGCTGGGGTCTCCAGCACTAAAAAGAACACTAAAAATGAACTTAGTATTGTTCTTCCTTTCACGGGAAGTATTTTACCCGTTGGGTTTGCTACACGCCCCAGGTAGAAAATTACCCTTTATCAGGTTGAGGAAGGTTCTTTCTTTTCTTAAAACTAGTCTATCACAAAGAGTTACTTAATTTCATTTAATATATTTTTTACCATTAACTGAGATGGTTGTATTGTTTTCCTCCTTAGATTTATTTAGTGTAAATGACACTAATATAATCCCTAAGGTCAAATCATCCTTGAATCTTGGGCTAGCTTTATCCGATAGTATCAATATACTGTTTGATTCAATTTGCTCGTGTTTTACTTGGGATTTTACAAATACACGATAAGTGAGAATAGAAATTGTTCTCTTTTTCTGGTCCATCCTTGTCTGATTTTGCTTGCAGCAGGGTTATGGCCAGCTTCAAAGAGCATCTTCTCTTTTGCATACTTTTTCTTTCCTCTAAAAATCTTTGTGTAAAATAAGAATCATCAATTCTTTTTAAAGTCTTATAAAAAAAATCTGGCCCTTTAAAGAGTATATCTCTGACAATTTTTTTTTTTTAATTTCTTTACCCTTTAATGGGTTACCATGCTTTACCATTCCTTCTTACAATTCAGGCTTGGCCCATGGTCCAAGACAATCCTTGAATATTGACAAAAAGGAAAGCAATGGCAAATTTACAACAGCATCACACTCTTTTAGTATCACTGAAGCTCCCTTAATGTATATTTAATAAAATATTGATTCAATGCTGAAGATATAAATAGGATATCTAAATTTAATCCAAAAAAGTTATGTTATTTTTAGAAAAGATAATAACTCCTAGAAAATGGGGACAATTCATTTAAAGATGAATTAAAGGCTGGGCGCGGTGGCTCACGCTTGTAATCCCAGCACTTTCGGAGGCCGAGGCGGGCGATCATCTGAGGTCAGGAGTTTGAGACCAGCCTGGCCATTATGGTGAAACCCTGTCTCTACTAAAAATACAAAAATTAGCCAGGTGTAGTGGCAGACGCCTGTAATTCTAGCTACTCAGGAGGCTGAGGCAGGAGAATCGCTTGAACCCAGGAGGCACAGGTTGCAGTGAGCCGAGATCGCACCACTTCACTCCAGCCTGGCGACAGAGTAAGACTCTGTCTCAAAAAAAAAAAAAAAGAATGAAATACATGCTGTACAGCTAAAAATGTGCATATCACAGTGATAAGAATATATGCTTAGTCTATTTAAGATATCTTTTTCTTTCAAAGTTTCTTTTGCTATTTCCACAACAGAACCTATAAATAAAGAACGCACAGCTGCCTAGCAGATGTATAATTTCAGTGTTTAGATTCCATTCTTTCTAGCTTCATTCTGCTAGAGGTTTTAGATTTTCTATTTCCATCTGGTGTTGTGTTTTTTTTTTTTTTTTTTTTCTTTCTGAGACGGAGTCTTGCTCTGTTGCTGGAGTGCAATGCAGTGGCGTGATCTCGGCTCACTGCAACCTCCACCTCCCGGGTTCAAGTGATTCTCTTGCCTCAGCTTCCCAAGTAGCTGGGATTACAGGTGCCCGCCACCATGCCCAGCTAATTTTTGTACTTTTTTAGTAGAGACAGGGTTCCACTATATGTTAGCTAGGCTAGTCTCAAACTCCTGACCTCAGGTGATCCACCCGCCTCAGCCTCCCAAAGTGCTGGGATCACAGGCGTGAGCCACCACACCTGGCCTTCATCTGGTTTTTAACCTCCTACAGTTTAGGTTCTGCTTCCCTACATCTTATTATATTTTAGTCTATTATTACTGAAGAACATATCAAATGTGAAACATCTTGATTAAAAAAAAAAACTTAAAAGTGGCAAAAGCTGAGAAGGAAAGGAAGAACATTCAGGAAAAAAAAAAAAAAAAGATAACTAGAATAAGACAGCCAAATTTTCAGAACTTTCTATTTCTATTCAGATACCCCCACCCCTACAAATTTCAAGTTCCTTATATTCCAGGTTCAGACGCTCAGGATGAACTTAGCTTTACTCAACTTATTTGCACAAATTCTTAAATTACAGTAGAAACATTGTAGAATTTTTTAAACTTACAGTATATATACCAAAATGTTTATAGATGTTACCTTTGAGTAGTATAAATACAGGGGATTTTTACTTTCTTCTCAGGGCTTTTCTATGTGTTTCAATTTGTTCTGTAAGCATTATTTTTGCAATCAGGAGGGAAAAAAGACTTGTTTTGAAAAGAAACTTTAAAGGAATGGGATGATTTTTAGACGTCTACATGCCATAACCAATTACATTTAAATGACTGTTAAGAGAACAAAAGCAATTTAATAATATTCCATATTATTATTATTCAGCAGCATTAACAGGTAAAAATCAGATTTCATTTCTCAATCTGACTCCAAAAACTGCCCCACAGATGGACTTAATCACTTTCATTTTCAACTGACTCTCTTTTTCTTCTTGTTCTCTCACAGGGTAGGTTTTAATTTATTCTATGAAACGATACAAATAACATAATTATGTTATGCAAGCACCTACCCAAGGTCATTTATTTTAAGAGTAATACTCATGGTAAAGCTGTGAAAAAAGATCTATCTCTGGCCGGGCGCGGTGGCTCACGCCTGTAATCCCAGCACTTTGGGAGACCAAGGTGGGGAGATCATGAGGTCAGGAGATCGAGACCATCCTGGCTAACACGGTGAAACCCCGTCTCTACTAAAAATACAAAACATTAGCCGGGCATGGTGGAGGACGCCTGTAGTCCCAGCTACTCAGGAGGCTGAGGCAGGAGAATGGCGTGAACCCGGGAGGTGGAGCTTGCACTGAGCCAAGATCGTGCCACTGTACTCCAGCCTGGGCGACAGAGAAAGACTCTGTCTCAAAAAAAAAAAAAAAAAAAAAACCTATCTCTGACCATCGCCAATTAAACATGTATACATCTCAGAGATGAGAAAAAAAAAAGCACTAATTTTTAAAGAAGGTATGTGGGAAGAATTTTGGATAAATATTTTTTTAAACAACTATATGCCACTGACCTTTTAATATTGTTTAAGATGCAAAGGAAAAACAAAATCAGTAAAGTAAAAAAGTATAAATTGGAGCCAGGCACAGTGGCTCACAGCTGTAATCCCAGCACTTTGGGAGGTCAAGGCGGGAGGATCTAAGCTTGAGCCCAGGCAGCCGAGGCTACAGTGAGCCATGTTCACACCACTGCACTCCTGCCTGGGGAATGGAATGCGTGAGACCCTGCTTCAATCAATCAATCAATCAATCTCAAAGATTAACTGTGGAAAATTTAAATGTGGAAAATCTCTACCACGTTTTAAATATTAAAAGAGAGGTTAATTGTTAAAAGTCAACTCTGTGCCTAGTACACATCCTCATCTTAAAATTCTCCTCCTCCATTTGACAATATAATTATGTGGTTAAGAGCATGGACTCTAAAATCCAGACTGCCTGGGTTTGAATCCCAGCTCTGCCACTTAGGAACTATGCAACCCTTGACAAGCTACTTAACCTCTGCAGCCTTAGTTTCCTCATGTAAAAGGGAACTGATAATAGTAACTATATCATAGAATACTTGTAAAGGTTAAATCGATTCAGAGTAAGGAAATATGTCAGATACCATTTAATCCATCTCAATCTTATATTTTATTGCTCAACATTCTTTAAACTAAAACCTACTTACCTTTTATATGTGAATAACAGCTGAATATTAATTTAAAACTTTCTAAAATTCAAAATCTCAAACACTAAGTAAAAATAAAATATTGAATTAGTGTTTCTTTTTGAGTGCTTTTTATGTTATTTAACGTTTCCAAGGTTTGATAAACTCCAACAATTCCATAAAAAGGAATTAAGATATTTGAATTAATATTCCAATTAAAAGGGTTATCATATAATATACAGCTTATAAATCTGAGATAAAATTAAATGATACACTTAATGCTAAAATAGTATTGAGAATCAGAATGCATTTGGAAACAGGCCACTGAGAAGATCAAATGGTCATCTATAGTACTGTGACAGCCTCATACGGAGAAAAAGAGAATGGGATTTGGTGTCCAAAGGCCTTGGTGGGAACTTAATGGGAACTTAATGTGTCCAAAGGCCTTAATGGGAACTTAAGGTAATGGGAACTTAAGGCTCTTAACAAAGGGTCTGAAATCGGTACAAACACAAGAAACAATTGTTTCTCTATCCCTATCCCTAATTGTGGTTGGTCAAATCTCCCTTTTCCACTTCTTATGGAGATCTTGAAAAGTTCCTATAGCTTTTGGTTATTAAAAAGTACAGTTTAAAACGTTAATCTTCAGTCTTACAATCACCTCCTTTCTCTTCAAATTCAGATTGGGTGCACCCAGTCCAAGAGAGCTAGCCTGGAGGAAGGGGTGTGGTCTGATGAATAGGGGAGGGAGGAGAGAGACTGGAGTAGCTATCTCAGTTGCCACTTTCCTGGCTAATACTGACTACACTGTCTGTATCACAAGCAGACAAATGATAGCTTTTCTTCTGGGGACAAGTGGGGTTCTTTCATGACAAAGGAGACTAGAGGCTCTCAGCCCACCTGAAGATCTGCTTCAGCTCACCCTCCATTTGTTGTATTGTTTTGTTTGGTTTTGAGACAGGGTCTCTCTCTCGCAGACTGAAGTGCAGTGATAAGATCATAGCTCACTGCAGCCTCAACCTTCTGGGCTCAGGCAGTCCTCCTGCCTCAGTTGCCCAAGAAGCTGGGAATATGACACAGGGCCTCACTGTCACTTAGGCTGATGTGCAGTAGCACGATCTCAGCTCACTGTAGCCTCAACCTCCTGGGCTCAAGCCAATCTGCCACCTCAGCCTCCTGAGCAGCTGGGACCACAGGCGCCCGCCACCACGCCTAGCTAATTTTTATACTTTTTGTAGAGACGGGGTTTCGCCATGTTGCCCAGGCTGATCTCGAACTCCTGAGCTCAATGATCCTCCCACCTCGGCCTCCCAAAGTACTGCGATTATAGGTCTGCATCACCTTGCCCAGCCTCAGCTCACCCTCTTCCAACTACTTTTGCTCCCCTGTCCAGCACAGCCTGCCTGGCAAGAAGGCTGGTGCCTGGTTACATCTGCATTACCCACCTGAACTAAAAGAAGGTCACTGCCACCCCTCCATCCACACTGGGATTTCTAATTTTCCTTATCCTTTGCTCAAATAGGTACAGATAAACCAGCCTGCTGCGTAATTAATACTGCCTAGGTAATCAGATACTCCATTCCATCTTCTGCTAGTATTCTTAACCTCCAGGAATGGTTCTCTTAGACCTCTCCACACTAAGTTTCTAAGGGAAGGACACTCCAAGGGAAGGAGAAGGGAAGAAAAACTACAGTGCTCCCTGCTAGGCAAACTAATAGCTGCAATGACAATTCTGGCACAATTCCTTCTCCCCCCAACTTGTGACCTAATTCTGCCACATCTTAATAAGCCCTGGAAAGGATTCTGGCCACTAATGCCTAGGGCTTTCTTTAGCATGTGGAGTCTTTGACTTTACTTTATATGTAACTTTGAGGTCCTAATCATCCACTCTGAGTGAATGAGGAAAAGTCTGATTCTATTTACTTTTTTCTTTTTAGAGACAGGGTCTCGCTATGTTGTCCACGCTGAAGCGCAGTTGCTATTTACATAGCACATTATTCTCATAATGCATTACAGCTGCAAAATCCTGGCCTCAAGTGATCCTCTCACCTCAGCCTCCCTAGTAGGTAGAACTACAGAGTTCAGCTCTAGATCTATTTACTCTTTTACACCAACTTGTTTGACATTGGTGGGAAAATTAACCTTCATTAGCCTCCAATTCTTGATGTACAAAGCAGGAAAAGCAACAAAATTTCCTATATCAATTTGCCAGTACTGATGATACACAGAAGCATTTTGCAAATTCAAATGTGAATATTAACATGGAAGCTAAAATAATGCATACTTTTAGAAAGCAACAAGATCAGATTTAATTTTCAAGGACCCTGTATGTGAAGCCATTCAAACCTGCATTTTAAGATAGAACTGTCCTGCTTATTTCTCTCAGAAATACTCATCTTCACTAACATTCATTAAGCTACTACAGTGGCAAGCACAGTGTTAAGCACTGAACTGCACTCATCATTCATTTAGTCCTCACAGTAGCCCTGAGAGAGAGGACCATTATTATCCTTGTTTCACATATGAGAAAAGAAGGCTTAGAGTAATTAACAACTTTGGCTCAAGGTCACAAACCTAGTAAGCAGAGTGTAATAAGGCACAGAAAGCAATAAACACACCGATGCATAACTAAACCTAGAAATAAGCCAACATTTAATTAACCTTTTTAGTTATTTCATAACCAGATAAATGGAAAAGTCACAATAACCATATCAGGATTTCTTTATTCTTTTAAGCTATTAATGCCTTCTTTGTGTAAAGATTTAACCTCAATTGAATGACTTCTTTTGTTGACTCTCCTCAGTGATGTGACCAGAGAAACCTGTTACAAATCATTTTCTCTTCTATGCAAATTGATAAAATGCTAAGAAAAAACAGGGAAGAGTGCATAATTTTAAGAACAAAGGCCTGTGAACACAATTAAAGTTACTATGCCATCCATTAACAATCAGCATTACTACGATAGGAACAAACACATGGGGGTGGGGGGCACATCTTTAATAGCATAATCCACTTCTTTTAACAAATGTTTCATTTTGGATAACAGTTTTTTTAATGTACTTTAAAGAAACTTTACTCACGCTCTTTATATTTAAGATATTTATATTTATTCTTAGAAAAACGTTACTTTATTATTATCCCTTGCCCTTACAGCCAGAAAAATATCAATTTGGCCATTGTCAGAGAAGAAAAACTTCCTACACCCTCTTAGGTTCAGTAATTGAGGTCTGATAAATTAAACTGACAAAGAACACATCTGCAAGAGAAATGACAGATTTGATTCACATATGTAGAATAATTCACAGAAAAATGTGACCCAAGGGGGCTGTCCGAATTTGGGGCATGTGTACCATCTTACTAGGGGAACTGGAACTAGAAAAGAACAATGGGCTGTTGCAGGAAAACAAGTAACATGTAGGAAAGACAAATGGACCCTTAGGACAACAGTTGGACATAGGATAGTTTATAACAATGTCTGTTTAGGTGTGGTGCCAAATTCTCTCCAGCGACAAGAGACCATCTTCCCTGCTTGCAAAACTCCCAAGGAAGGGATTTATGACAACTGGAAGTTATGACAATTGAGTTCTTTGGGGGAGGATCTAGTTTTAGGCAGACAAGGGAGTTCAGGAGGAAAAAAAAGCTATTCTCAAATGTTTCCAGATTAAAATATATGTTTTGTTTGTTTGAGACAGGGTCTTGCTTTGTCACTCAGGCTGGAGTGCAGTGTAAGATCATGGCTCACTGCAGTCTCGAACTCCTGGGCTCAAGCGATCCCCCCACCTCAGCTTCCTGAGTTGCTGAGACTACAAGTGCATACCACCACATCTCATTGATTTTTAAATTTTTGTAGAGACAGAGTCTCAACATATTGCCCAGGCTGGTCTAGAGCTCCTAGGCTCAAGTGATCCTCCTGCCTCCGCCACCCAAAGTGCTGGGATTACAAGCATGAGCCACCAGGTTTCCAAATAATTTTTATGTTGCAGTAGCATATTCTGGACGCCTTTGCCATGAACAGATACAAATATCTGAACATTTACTTTGTACAAAGCATGCATGTGTACTGTTAGCAATACGAAATATTTTAGCACAAAAATCAAAGGAGCGTATAACAAGTTGAGAGTATAAGACAAATGAAACTTAAAATTTTTTGTTTTTTAATATTCATACAACAGCAAAGAAACCTTATATCATGAATGTTTTTTCAGCTGGCAAACTGGCAAAGATAAAAACAGACTGATATGGCCGGGCGTGGTGCCTCACGCCTGTAATCCCAGCACTTTGGGAGGCCAAGGCGGGCGGATCACGAGGTCACGAGATCAAGACCATCCTGACCAACATGGTGAAACCCTGTCTCTACTAAAAATACAAAAATTAGCTGGACATGGTGACGTGCACCTGTTGTCTGAGCTACTCCGGAGGCTGAGTCAGGAGAATCACTTGAATCCGGGAGGCAGAGGCTGCAGTGAGCCAGGATGGCACCACTGCACTCCAGCCTGGCAGCAGAGCAAGACTCGGTCTCCAAAAAAAAAAAAAAAACCATCCTGGCTAACACGGTGAAACCCCGTCTCCACTAAAAATACAAAAAAAAATTAGCCAGGTGTGATGGCGGGCGCCTGTACTCGGGAGGCTGAGGCAGGAGAATGGCATGAACCCAGGAGGCGGAGCTTGCTGTGAGCAGAGATAGCGCCACTGCACTCCCGCCTGGGTGAAAGAGCGAGACTCCGTCTCAAAAAAAAAAAAAAAAGACTGATATGATTATGTTGGGAGGAGAGAACATATTCAAATACTGTTGGCTGGAATATGAATGGTTACGAAGATTTTGCAGGGTGGCTTGGCACTTTCCATCCAATCTGCACGGCTTCTCTTATAGTAAATGCATTTCTAAGAATTCATTTCATAAAATAAAAACAGTCTCAAAGGATATGTACAAACACCACAGCATATTTGCAATGCAAAAGAAAAAAATGGAAATAATCTAATTATTCATTAACACGAAACTGGTAAGTAAAATTAAGGTATAATCAGAAAATGGAATAACTGCTTAACTACTATAAAGAATGAGATGATTAAGGCTGCGCACAACACCTCACACCTGTAATCTCAGCACTTTGGGAGGCCTAGGTGGGAGGATCACTTTAGCCCAGGAGTTCGAGACCAGCCTAGGCATCATGGTGAGATCCCACCTCCACACACACAAAAATTTTTTAATTAGCTGGGCATGGTAGCATGCACCTCTGGTCCCAGCTATTCAGGAGGCTGAGATGGGAGGATTGCTTGAGCCCAGGAGTTGGATGCTGCAGTGAGCTGTTTGCACCACAGCACCACTGCAGCCTGGGCAACAGAACAAGACCTTCCCTCAAAAAAAAAAAAAAGAATGAGGAAATTGAAATTTACTGACATAAAAAGAATCCCCCTATATATTCAGTGAAAATAAATTTAAAGATAAGGATGTATCGTATGACCCCATTTTAGGAAATGGGGACAGAAAAAAAGAAAGAAGGCAACAGAAAAGAAAATTTTTTCTAGCTCTATACTTTCAACAGTGGCAATCTTGGGGCACAGGTGAAGCATGATTACAGAAGACTTTCATTACTTCATTTCTGTATTGTTTGAAATTTCAACCACAAATATGTGTAACTTCTGTTAACAGAAAACACACAGTTCTATGGTAATACGTAGTTAGGGAAACTATACTAGAGTTTCACCATGTGTATTAGCATATTAAAAGTTCTGAGAAGGTTTGTAGTAAAGAAATCTAATATACCAAAAGATTATCTTCAAATAATGATGCAGCAAAGAGCCAACTATGAGGCTTGGACCACTGAGGAGGGCTTCATAGGAGAGAGAGGAATATTCTTTTTTTTTTTTTTTTTTTTTTGAGACAGAGTCTTACTCTGTCGCCCAGGCTGGAGTGCAATGGTGCAATCTCGGCTCACTGCAACCTCCACCTCCCAGGTTCAAGTGATTCTCCTGTCTTAGCCTCCTGAGTACCTGGGATTACAGGCGTGCCACCACACCCGGCTAATTTTTGTATTTTTAGTGGAGATGGGGTTTCACCATGTTGGTCAGGCTGGTCTCGAGTTCCTGACCTCGTGATCCTCCCGCCTCGGCCTCCCAAAGTGCTGGGATTACAGGCGTGAGCCACAGCACCTGGCCAAGGATTTATACTAGATTTTAAAGCATTCTGATGGGCAAAGAACCAGGGAAAGGAAAGTCAAAGGCAGTACTGTCCAATATGACGTGTAATTTTAAACTTTCTAGTTGCCACATTTAAAAAGTAAAAAGAATCCTGTGAAATCAGTTTTGTTTTTTTAACTGAGACAAGGTCTCACCACGTTACCCAGGCTGGTCTCAAGCTGCTGGGCTCAAGCAATCCTCCCACAGTGCTGGGATTACAGGCATGAGCCACCATGCCCGGCCAAAATCAGTTTTAATATATTTCTTTAATCCAATGTATCCCTAACAGTATCATCTCACTATATAACCAATATTTTAAAAGCATAATGAGATATTTTACATCTTTTGGTACTATCTTCAAAATCTGGTACGTAATTCACACTTAGACTAGCCACAGTTCAAGTCTTCAACAGCCACATGTGGTAGTGGCTATCTATTGTAGTGGACAGTAGAGGTCTAAGGATTCTGAACCCAAACCTGAATCGGATATTTACGTGACTTAGGCTGATAAAATAGTAGGAAAGGAAGCAAAGCAGAAAAGGCTGACTTGGCCAGAGCAGGAGACCAGTCCAAGATATTCTGGATTTTCTATTGTAAGCAAATAAGAAAACAGGGAAAAATATTTAACAAATAGGGATGATGACCAAAGCAGTACTTCAGAAAGATTAACAGTTTTTGCTAAAATATACACGTACAACTTCAACATGCAATTTTTCCCCCACATTTTTATTAAATAAAAGATTATAAAATGAAGGAAGAATAATCTGTCACCCAGCGATTATATTTCATTGATTTGGTATACATTTAAGATACTTCTGAACAGTTACCACTGAAATATTTTTATTTCATGACATTTTTAAATGATTCTTGAAAAATGCAGACATTAAGAGCCTCACCAAAATTTAACAGCCTTTACTTTAATATTTTCTAACAAGAGCTTCTTTTAGCCAGGAATCTAAAACATTCTTATATACAAATTTAAAACACTCAAGACCCTATACTCTTGAAATACATTACAAAGCATTTTAATTACTAGTAAGAAAACTACCTACAAATCTTAATATACATAAAACAGTATCAAAACTATCCAAGTCAGCCAGATGTGGTGGCTCACGCCTGTAATCCCAGCACTTTGGGAGGCTGAGGCGGGAGGATCACGAGGTCAGGAGATTGAGACCATCCTGGCTAACACGGTGAAACCCTGTCTCTACTAAAAAATAGAAAAAATTAGCTAGGCGTGGTGGCGGGCTCCTGTGGTCCCAGCTACTCAGGAGGCTGAGGCAGGAGAATGGCGTGAACCCGGGAGGCAGAGCTTGCAGTGAGCCAACATGCGCCACTGCACTCCAGCCTGGGCGACAGAGCGAGACTCCGTCTCAAAAAAAAAAAAAAAAAAACAACTATCCAAGTCTCCTACAGATTTCTCACCTTCAAAATTGAGAGTCTATCTTCTCAACATTTTGATACTTTACCCAAAGGCTAAAGAAAAAAAAATTAATGCTCAAAAAAGGAGGTAAGAAAGCAGGATACGGGAAGGGCACCGCAGGCATAAGCCATACTCCCTTTGGTACTTGCAAGGACTGCCAAGGCTGGCGTGATTCTTCAGCCAAAAGTCAGAAGTCCAGTGATGTCATTAGGACCAAAAGCATTATATGACCTTCAATTTCGGCAGCTAACTGTGCTGCAAGTCAAGATATTTTCTTTCTTTTTCTTTTTTTAAGCAGAAAAATTATCTTAAAGTTCACCATGTTCCTTCTATTTTTTAAGATAAAGAAACGAAGATTCGGATTGGGTTAGTGTGGCATCCGTGATTGAATAGGTACTCAGTAGTAAAACCAGTATCAGACATTATTTATAAAAAATTAGAAGCTGAAACTTAATCATTCCGCTGCTTCTTTATGGCTTTTTATACTTCCCAAATTACCCACAATAGATGTATTGCCTTTAAAATTTTTAAAAAGCTGCAAAAACTGCTCACTTTACCGAATACTTCTGGCCGGGCGCAGTGGCTCATGCCTGTAATCCCAGCACTTTGGGAGGCCGAGGTGGGCGGATCACGAGGTCAGGAGTTCGAGATCAGCCTGACCAACACAGCGAAACCCCGTCTCTACTAAAAATACAAAAATTAGCCAGGCGTGGTGGCTCACGCTTGTGACCCCAACTACTTGGGAGGCTGAGGCATGAGAATCGCTTAACCCGGGAGGTAGAGGTTGCAGTGAGCCAAGATCACGCCACTGCACTCCAGCCTGGGCGACAGAGTGAGACTCCGTCTCAAATAAATAAATAAATACTACTGAATACTTCCAAAAACAGTCTCCTTGTCCTTTCTTGCCTAAGGTCTCACTCTGCGGGCTACCTTTCTCAGGAAAGCCTTCCAAAGTACCCGCATCCTGAACAGCCCAGCTTCCCTTATCAGTCTTGTAACATTCCCTGGACTTCCTTTTTGTAGATCTTAACATAACTACAACTAGATAATTATTTAATGTCTATCTTCTCTACCCAGGCCTTAAGTTGAAATTTCTCAAGACTGGCCAGGCGCAGTGGCTCACACCTGTAATCCCAGAACTTTGGGAGGCCAAGGCGGAAGGATCACCTGAGGTCAGGAGTTGAGACCAGCCTGGCCCACGAGGCAAAACCCTGTCTCTACTAAAAATACAAAAAGGAGCCAGGCGTATTGGCGGGCGCCTGTTAAACCCAGCTACTCGGGAAGCTGAGCCAGGATAATCACTTGAACCCAGGAGGCGGAGGTTGCAGTGAGCCCAGATCGCACCACTGCACTCCAGCCTGGGAAACATAGCAAGACTCCGTCTCAAAAAGAAAGAAAAAAAATTCTCAATGCTGTTTTAGGCTCTTTGCTAGACCATACAAGGAGTTCTCGATACGAGGTCTATAACCTATAACCTGTAATTCTATAACCTATAACCTATGTCTTCCTCTGCCAGATATATGCACCTGCCTGAAATGAGACCACAAAAGTGAAGAACAGAAAAGACAACCTCAATTAATTATATCATTTGAGCACTTAGGTCCAGCCATGTCTATTTCTAGACCTTTCAATATCATGGGGGTTAGTGGGGAGAAGCTTTTCCCTCCTTTAAGCTAACTTGAGTTAGGGCTGTCACTTGTAAGCAAGAGTCACTTGAGAGAGCCACCCAATTCCCACTGTTGGAATATAAAATCTATACAGCAATGACTCCCAAATGCCTACCTCCAGCACAAACCTCTGTCAAACCCCAGACCCATATAGACAACTGCCAAGTGGAAATCCCTACTTGGCTGTTTCAGATATCTCAAACTCCATGTGATCCAATACTATTTTCTTCTACAAACCAGCTCTCCCACCTCATTTTTCATATCTGTCACCCACATCTACCCTGCTTTCCAAGCTAGAAATCCAGGAGTTGTTCTTGCCAATCCCATTCCTTCTCTCATCCACGCTAGTTATCGCCTCCTATCCATTCCAGGCCCTAATTATCTGCCACCATCTTAACCCATTTATGCCTGAGGCTGCAATTTTTTGAATTTTTGCAATCAGACCTTGGTGATGACCTTGAGCAGGATATAAATAACTCCCACGTGCTTAGCGTTCCAATAGTGGAACACTAGGCATAAATGGGTTTAATCCGGGCTAGGCCAGAAAGACCTTCCTACAAGTTTGAACATCTTCAGTCTTCCTTTCTTCAAAATGATTTTCCAACATGTAACTAATCTCCCTAACTGCAAATGTGATTATAATATTTTATCCCTATCTCTAGCATACTCCTGTCCTCCTTCATAAGTCAACAGCCAATTATATACAGCTGGATCAAGAGCCAAGCTCCACTGTTCCAGACTTTAACAGTATAACAAATCTGTGCCATAAGAAAGGAAGGCTCATCAGAAATATAAAACTATAAAAGAGTAACAAAGTCTACAACATCAGAGTAAATAAAAGATACTCAAAGATAATTTACTCATCTATTCAATGTCTACTCATTAGTTATATATTAAACTGCCCATACGAACTGGCTTAGGGACCACAGGGGCCACCCTGAGATGGAGTCTACTGATCATCTGATCTCCCTATGCCCCTAACTAGTGTTCTTTTCAAAAAACACTACTGGGGATTTCCAGGCACATCCAAGAGCTTTGATTAGGGAGAGAAACACTATTCATCAATTCTAAGATGCATCCATTTTTCATATTTTAGCATCTCCGGAATTGGGGTGCACCTTACAATCAATGGCTTCTTACAACTAGAAGCATATTTTAAGTGGTCTGTAACACTACTGTGTATCTTACAATGGACATAACTCAATGCAAGTCAACATTTAATCTTGTGTTAAAAAGTTGGTCCAACTTGGTCAATATGGACCTTGTGATGTTAAAAAGACATCCTAAAGCCTAAAAACTAGTAAAAGGTGGGAAAGTAGAAAAGGAAAAGAAATGGTTCCTACTTCAAAATTTAGTGTGATAGGAAACCCATTTTCCTTTCTCTCCATGGTTCGCTGCTCCTAAGATCCAATAGTCAGATCAGGACAGTTCAACAGCTACTGTTAGGCTAGACAGGAGCCTTTCCCCATTTATTCCTTTTAATATGCAAGAAAAGTCCGTTACAGACCCACCCTGCAAACTAGTAGTGAAACTAATATTTGTATAAAAACTGCTATAAAGGCCAGCCACAGTGCCTCACCTGTGTAACCCCAGCACAGGGAGGCTGAGGCGAGCGGATCAACTGAGGTCAGGAGTTTAAGACCAGCCTGGCCAACATGGCAAAACCCCACCTCTACTAAAAATACAAAAATTAGCCAGGCGTGGTCCCAGCTACCTGGGAGGCTGAGGCAGGAGAATCCCTTGAACCCAGGAGGCAGAGGTTGCAATGAGCTGAGCTCACGCCATTGCACTCCAGCCCAGGCGACAGTGCGAGACTCTGTATCAAAAAAAAAAAAAAAAAAAAAAAGAAAGAAAGAAAGAAAGAAAGAAAAAACAATAAGGTATTAAAAAAAAAAAAAAAAAAAAACAGGTAAATCTGAGGCAAATACCACAGAAAATATTTCATTTAATGGAAGACCTAGGAAACTTCTGAGTGGCGAAGTGGTAAGAACTGGGCTTACAGATTAATTTAGGCAGAAATACATAAGATTAGATAAAGGAGAAAAGTGAAGGCAAGAAAATCATAACATTAGTCCAGGTGGGATGAGAACTTGATTTAGAGTTAGGGGGTGGGGGTGGAGTCGCGGGGTGGTGGGGGGAGAACTACGTGAAAGCCAAATAACACTAGATTTGAAAATAAATTCCTGAAAAAAATGTGAAACATTAAAATTCATATGAGAATCAGAAAATCGACACAAACCAACAGCTATTAAAGAAATTGAAGTGTTACTCAAAGTCCTCTCCAGAAAAAAGATCTAGGCCTAAATGGTCACATAGGGGAGGTCTTCCAAACTTTCAAGGAACAGATAATCCCAGTCTAAAATGATCCTGAAAAAGAGAAAAAGAAGGAAAGCTGCCCAACTCGTTTTATGATTTGACTACTACCTTCACACCAATATGAATTCAGAATTGCCCCACAGTTAGCAAGAATAGAGAGCAGAAGAGTTACAATATCATAAAGCAGAATCAACAGATGTTGGCTACAGACAAGATATGATGAAATGGGAAAAGGTTTGGGTTTGGTATGACATCAACAAAAATAAAGAACACCAAAGAGGCAAGTTTGCTAAGGAAAAGCAGCTCAGAACAATCAGGTACAGATATGTAGAAAGCAACTGAATAAAAAAGAAAAAACAAAACAAACAAACAAAAAAACGTGATTCAGAAGACACATAAACAAAGAATTGAGAATTATTCCAACAGAAAGGTCTGAACAATCATTCTAAGGGACTAGAGACATAGAGAAAAGTGATCTGAAAAGTGAAACTTGGAGAACGCATATTAAAGAGGAAAGAAGAAACAGAAGGCAGAAAAGTGGCGGAGAGGAACAAAGTCAGTATAATGTCACAAAAGGCCCCTCTTCATCTAGTTAATAGTTAACTCTTGCTCATCCTTCACAATCTGCCTGGGTTCCAACAAAGCAATTTTAAGGTATCTTTCCCAGATTCTCCCACCACCACAAGCACCAGATCAGGTCTCCATTTGAAGTTCTTATAATATTCTGCACCTTAATTAAAATCACAATTATATTTAACTAGAGACTTTATTTTTCAATAAGTATTTCCCCACTAGACTTTAAGCTCCATGAGGGAAGGATCTGTTGTATCTTACTGCCTTGGACCCTGTGTTAGAATACAGCGAGTATAGATGAATGAAACCCAAGGAGAGGCATCTGAAAATGTGAAGTCGATGTTAAATCTTACAGAAAACTCAAGGAGAGGACTTAGAAAAAGGTAGTTAAATGTGTTGATTAGGTTATAGTTCCTTGTGAAGGTGAAATCCAGATAACAAGGGGTTAAGAAATGAGTGGCTAGCCACCAACCAGGCAAAGGCAGGAAAAGCAGACTACACTTGGCAATCTCTAGAGATGGATTGTGAATGACTAAATTTTAATTTCAATGTTGCGCTAGTTCGCAATTAACAACCATGTGTTACTTTTATTACGAACAAGCTTTTTAAAATGTTAATAAGATTTGAAAAGGAAAAGCAGCAACAAGACAGCTTGAAGGAGTAGCAGACTTAAGAAAAGGTTTTTGTAAACTGAAAAAATCTTAAGAACATTTGTACTTTAAAGAACCCAAATACGACAGAGAAAATAACTCACGCTCCACTAAGCAGGAAAATTAGAAGGAAAGGAAAAAAACCCCAAGGTGTTAACTAATAAGAAAGACAAAAAAAAAAAAAAAAATTCTCCCTCTTTGACGGAAGGTTAAGAAGCCAGTAACAGAAGGAATTTAATGAAGGAGCTCCTGCTAAGTGCCTCAACCTCTTCTGTAAAGGGTGGGGAGAAGTGAAGAAAGTAGAAAAAGTTTAAAGTGGGCTCCACGGAAAATGGAGGAAAAATTAAACAAGAACTGAGTCTGGTTCTACTAAAAACGCATTCTACATTTCAATCGGCCTTTCATACACTCACCCCATTCCTAGATCAGAGAATTGCCCATATTTTAGCTTCAAATTTAAAAATCTAAATAATTCTGGTTCACATTCTTTATTTCAACAACTGAAAACAATGAGACGCATTAAGTTACACTCTAATTCAAAGTTTAACTCCTCTCACAAGTAAATACAATAAAGTAGTTGTTTTCAACTCCAGCAACAAAATAGCGATAATTTCAAGTAAGAGTAACTGAAAAATGTTCCTAAACGTAAAAGTGTTTGCAAACAGTTTTGGTTTTTTTTCTTCCTAATTCGTTTGCCAGAATACGATGTTCCTGGGTTCAAATCCCAGCTCCCTTAGACAAGTTAGTTAACCTCTTTGCGACTCGGTTTCTTCCCCTAAAACAATGAGGAATACAATAAACCAGAATCGTTGTAAGGATTAAATGACGTAACACAGGTGCCAAGTTCATACTATGTACTCTGAACAGTTTGTTAACCGCTTAAAAGAGAAAACCTGCAGGAGTTTGACCAAATTAAAACATCTGAGAGCATGAAAGAGTACCACGCTCAAACGCCAGACCCTAACACACAGCATATTATTTTTCTTCCCTGACGCAAGCTCATTTTTTTTTCCTTGCCAAATCTTTCCACTAGGAGTCTGGAAAGAGAAAAAAGGGTCCAGGCAATCCAGCAGAAAGTTTTCCAAAACTGAAGTACGGAATCACCAGGCCACGGAGCGGAGGCCGCGCAGGACAACAGGTGAAGCAGCTCCGGGAGCTCGGGGGCCAGGGCCCCTTCCCGCGGGGACTCGGGGGCGGGCCGGCTGCTCCTCTCACTCGACCCCCGCCCGAAACTCATTTTGTTCTCCCCTGTTCCTCCCCACAGCGTCCGGAGCCAAATCACAAATATCAGCCTCGCCGCTCCGGGGCGGGGAGGTGAGCGCCTTTCCCATTTAAGGATTCCAGAAGCGTCCCCGGAGCGACTTTCGCCCACTCCGCATCCCCAAACTCGGCCTGCAACCCGCGAGTGGGAGACAAAAGAGGGGCCGGCGGGGGACGCGGCGCGGGGTGCCGTGGGTCTCTGGCTGGGCGGTCCCGGCCCAGCGCGCGCCGAGGCCTGCGGAGCTGCCGGGGCCGGGCCGGGCAGCCCCTGGCTCCGGCCACCGCGCGCCCAGCTGCCTCTGCAGCCTCGCCCGAGCCCCTCTGGCCTCCCCGCTGCGGCCAGCCCCTCCGGTCCGCACGCGCACTCCCAACTCACCCGGACCCCAGGGAACGCATCCTCCAGCCCTCGGCGCGGAGCGGGTGGGCGCGGCGAGCCGCCGGGGCGAAGTGGGGCCCGAATCGGCCTTCGCCCTTGGCGTGCAGCGGCCCCGACCCGGTCGCCCCTCGATCGGGCCGTGCGATCTTCGCCGCGCGCGGACGGACGCGCCGAGCCTAAGCCTTCCTGCCCGCCCTTGGCCCTCCTCCCTCCTCGCTCCTGCCTCCTCCCTTCTCCTTCGCCAAGCCCGGCAGGCGGATTCCAATCTCTGCAGCGGCCGCCGCCACCGCCGCCGACTCTTGCCAGGAGGGGAGGGGGCGGCGCGGGTGCGGGGGCCTGGGGGAGGGGCGGGCGTCCGCGGGCCTTGCACGGCGCGCGCGCACTGGGAAGGCCCCCGCCCGCGCCGCGCGCACCCGACCACGGGCGCCTGCCCCGCCCCGCCCCGGACACGAAAAGAGCCGAGCGCACGGCGGAAGCGCCCGAAGAGTTCGCGGAGCCCGGCGCCCAGTTGCCGGGGAGGAGGGCCAGCCGCCGGCAAGGGGGCGCCGAGCTGCTGGTGCGGGCGGGAGTCGGGGCTGCTCCTCCGCGCGGGCCCGCCGGCCCCTCCCCACAAGCCAGCCCCACAGCTGCCGCCCGGGTAGCTTCCCGCAGACGCCGTAGGTAGCACGCGATGGAACGCGGCGGAGGGGAGCGTGGACACGGCTGCCGGGCGCTGCGGCCATCGGCGCCCTGGACGCCCGCTCCGGCCTTCGGGGCCGGATATCCCCACTCTCGCGGGCTCTTTCGCGTGGACCCCTCCTCCGGCCGACACTCACACTGCGGTGAACGCCAGTCAGCTGGCGTGAAATAAGGTCGCTGGGAAGGCACCAAGTCACCAAGGTGGGGGATGGCCAGGTCGTGGTAGTTGCGACAAAGAAAAATATAAGTCACATTGCATTTGTTTCTCGCCCACCCACCGCTCCCGGCGTCTCTTCCCGGGCTCCTTGCCAGCGTGCCGAGGCGCAGGCAGGGTGATGGAGGCTCCCCGGCCGGGAGGATCTGCCGGGGAGAGCGGCTTCCCTCATCGATTCGGGAGCGCCAGGCCCGGCGCGCCCGGGCTCCTGTGACCTGCGAGCCCGCGAATTCCAGCGGCATAAGATAAGGAGCGGCGAGGGCCCAACAGGACTGAGGTCAGCCAGCTATAAATACGCCTCCAGCTCCACCGCGGGCTCACGCTGGTGACCTCGTGTACCCTCCGGAGGCTCATTCCGTCCATTTGGAAAATGCAAATAATTGTCACCACCTCTTTTCTTCCATTTCCCCTCATTCATGGTGGAAAATGCTTTTAAAAGTATTCGATGACCCGTATGTGAGGAAAGAGGAGATAGGCCCCTTTTTCACCAAATGTGACTTTAACCTCCTTAGTAATCCAAGAAATGTATCAAGTTTAAGTCACTTAACAAAAGATGTTCTTTTAAAGGTGCATTTTAAAAAATCACTTTTAAAACTGGGTAAACTGGGTAAAAAGAAAGGGGGAAGGAAAACAATGTGCCAGGCATTTGTATTGACACACATTCTTGCCTGAAGAGGTGTTTAGATTCCAGGGTATTCCCTTATATTCTGGTATAAATGTTTGAATTCCCGTGTATTTTGTTTCAATTTTTTGGTTTATCTTTTATTCTGTCTCCCTTTTCTTCTTTTACCCGCCTTTGCCCTTAATGCTGCAGATAGCCTCTGTCATTCTGAATTATTTTTCAATTCTGTTTTCTTCCCTAATCTTTTTTTCTGGGCTCTTCAGCTGTCTCAGGTTTGACAGTCATGGGTTGTAGTATCTTGCTATGCAGGAAGAAGAGGATACGTGAGATTACTTGCATCAACTAAAATTGGTCACTTTTCTTTCTCAAGTTTCCTTCATAATACCCAGTTTTAGTTTTTTTGTTTTTTGGGGTTTTTTTGTTCTTTTTTTTTTGAGACGGAGTCTCGCTCTGTCGCCCAGGCTGAAGTGCAGTGGCGCCATCTCGGCTCACTGCAAGCTCCGCCTCCTGGGTTCACGCCATTCTCCTGCCTCAGCCTCCTGAGCAGCTGGGACTACAGGCGCCCGCCACCACGCCCGGCTAACTTTTTGTATTTTTAGTACAGACGGGGTGTCACCGTGTTAATAGGTGTTCTCGATCTCCTGACCTCGTGATCCTCCCGCCTCGGCCTCCCAAAGTGCTGGGATTACAAGCGTGAGCCACTGCGCCCAGCCCCAGCTTTAGTTCTAAAGGAAAAGATGGGCCTTTTGCTTAAGGAGATTCACATTGATTGGTCAAAGCTCTCATTGACGTATGCTGAGCAATGTGTCGGCAGAGAAAACCATGGCAAGCGTGTTATTATGCTCTTTATAGTCTAGTTGGATTTTTAGACATATGAATTGGTCTATAAAATAGACAACAATCTCAGGTGGGAACCTTAGTACATCAAGTTTCTGAAATGTACAAATGAGTATTCCCTGGCTTGTGTTATCTGCCACTGTAGAAATGAGAGCAAAATTGAAGCATCAAATTTTAAGTCGTGATATGTTTGCTTCTCTGCAAAAGACTCTCCTTTTCAAATCTTCAGGAATTTTTCGCTCTCCTTTGATAAGGCCCAGCTAGTACCCAGGCTTCAATCCTCAGCGCCCTGGCTACCAGCAGCTAGTGGGGCATGCTGTTCTCCCTGGCTACTGGCATGTTTATGCATGCCAGCCCGTTTCTCCGGTCTGTCTGCCCAGGGAGACATCTGGACACGTGTGTTCTGGCCCCCAAACTCAAAAGCAACATCTCGGGATCCACAGTTAACATTCCGTAATGTGTTGGTATTCCTTTAAGTGGGTTACTAGAATAGGCTGGAAATGGTCTTTTCTTCTGTCCAGGTAGGTCACAAGAGAGGTAGTTGTTACATGCCCAAAGCAGCATTCATTAATTACATCGTGCATTTAGTTATTTGTTTGTGGTCTGAGCCCCTCTGCTCCACTAGAATATAAACTCCATGAGCAAAAGACTTTGTCAGTCTCTCTTTTTTTAGAGACAGGTTCTCACTTTGTCACCCAGGCTGGAGTGCAGCGGCATAGTCATAGTTCACTGTAACCTGGAACTCCTGGGCTCACGTGATCCTCCCCCCTCAGCCGCCCAAGTAGCTGGGACTACAGGCCAGCTTGACTTTGTCAATCTATTCTCAACTCTCTCCTCAGAGCCTAGTGCCTGGCAAGTGAATATTTGTTAAATGAGAGAAGAGAAATAAGCATACATATCCTCTAGGCATTTCTAAACCTTGTCACCAAGACCCTTTTAGTGTTAGAGGGTGGCATGGCTATCTTGGAAAGAGTGAAGGTTGGCTGGGAAAGCTGTGGATCACATCCTCTTCAGTGAAATGGGACTTCTGCCTTCAGGGATCCAAGGTGAATAGATTAATCCAAGCTAATCCATTCAAAGTCATTTTCATGTTGTAAAGATCTTATAAGGCAAAAGGCAGCACGAAGTCTCTGGGTCTGATGATAAGTTAGAGGCCAGTAAGGAGGCACGAGTGAAGGAATGCCATTGGTAGGGTGACCCTTTAGGTTGGCTTCAAACCCAATATTAAATGGGTAGGTGTTAGGGAGAATAAACAGCTTCATTTTTCAGCATGGACACTACTACATCTTTTTTTTTTTTTTTTTTTTTTTTGGTTAGTAGTACCCCATCATGGCTTAGAAGGACTAAACTGAAACAGAAACTGTGGTTAAGAATAAGATGGATGTATATAATTCAGTGCACAAAATAGAGGAAGTTTAAAAACCTGAATTCATTTTCATTGTGGTGGTACAGTGTTTTACTTCTTTTGTTTACTTCTAAACAACTTGCTCCTTCTCCCTTAGCTCCATTTTAATTTATCTTTGCCTCAAAGCACTGGCTACTATGATTGAAAGATAGATGATGGAGGATATTGCTGCTCTCACTTGGTCCTACCTAGTCCGTGGCCTCTGTATTCCTCCTTTCCCTACTATCCGTACACCCTTTACCATAGAACCTGATCTTTCCTAGGCCTTGAGGCAGGAAGAATTATCAGAGCTTTGGTCCCAAGCTCAAGACTCAGCCTCCCACTGCCTCGCCCCTTTCTAAGAACTGACAGCCCTTCTCTTGTGTCTGAAACCCTGACCTGTTAGCTTGCCAGGACCTGGAATTTCTCTGCTTGTTGTTTGGACTTAGCTGCATCCCTGCACCCAGACTGCTGGGCAGTTGTAGGTATTGTTGGTGGCATCACTTAATTGCCTCCAGCTCTTTGTTTCTAGGCTCCCTGTATCTGTATTCTATCTATCTGTTGGGCCTCCCTTCCCCCATTACCTCAGGCTGGATGTCCCCATCCCCACTGCGCTCCTGGACTACCACCTGTTGTTTGCTCACTACTCTCTGGCTATCAGGCACTGCCTAGAGGACTATGGTTCCTCCCACCGAGCACCGGGAGCTGGGGCCTCCCTACCCCAACTCCCACGCAGCCCACAGTAGATCTTGGCCTTCCCTGTCCTGCTGCAGCTCACTGCCCTGCTTTTCCCTATCCTCACAGCACCTGGTTTATTGCACTTGGATTATTTTTTAACCAGATGAAAACTATATATAATATATATGCTCTGGACATACACTAAGTACATATTAAAGGTGTATTATATGTAATTTTGGCTGGGCGTGGTGGCTTATGCTAGTAATCCCAAGCACTTTGGGAGGCCAAGGTGGGTGGATCATTTGAGGTCAGGAGTTCAAGACCAGCCTGGCCAACATGGTGAAACCCTGTGTCTACTAAAAATACAAAAATTAGCTGGATGTGGCAGCAGGCACCTGTAGTCCCAGCTACTTGGGAGGCTGAGGCAGGAGAATCGCTTGTCGCAGTGAGCCCAGATCTCGCCATTGCACTCCAGCCCGGGCAACAGAGCGACACTCTGTTTCAAAAAAAAAAAAGCTATATATATATTTTTTTCTGGCTAAAAATTAATCCAAGTGTAATAGGGGTGTGTGTGTATATAATCTATTGAATATAATTCAAATAGATTTCTAGTCTGAACTTTGTGTGTGTGTGTAGGTGTTTGTGTACATATGTAAGTATATGCATATATGTATATATGTACACACAAATATGCATATGTGTGCACACATATGTGCGCATATGCGTATGTGTGCACACATATGTGCGCATATGCGTATGTGTGCACACATATGTGCGCATATGCGTATGTGCGCACACGTGCGCATATGCGTATGTGCACACGTGCATATATGCGTATGTGCGCACATGTGCATGTGCGCACGCATATGTGCACATGTGTATGCGTGCATATGTGTGCATATGTAAGTATGCATGTACACATATGTACATATATGTACGTATGCATGTACATATGTTTGTGTGTATACACACAAAAAACCCATACATACATTCAAAAATGAAAAGACCCATGTCTGATTCTTCTTAGTATCCCTAAACACTGATTCTACTCAAGAATTCCTTTGGAGCTAGTAGTCCAGAAATCCAGCATGTGGAGCTGAATATGATTACCTTGGGAATGACTAGTAAAAGGAAGGCAAGGTGCGATGATAAAAGATTCAAGCTGAGATAACTGGGGAGATAAAATCTGGATCAGGAGTGCAGATTCATGAACACCATACTGTGCCTACTGTCCATGGCTTACATGGTAATTGGGATGTATTCCTAGATGTGGTGTGGTGTCACCAGTGTGACCAGGCATACTAGTTTACCCATCGGATATGTTGAAAGTACCTGACCCTGTGCTGGACTCAAAAGTTCAGAGAATGGGAACTGTCTCATTCTCACTCCATTGTATCCAGTGTGCTGCTTGGCACACCAGTAGGTAGTCAGTAAGTATTTATTAAATGAATGACATACTTAATTTTGTTCTCTACTGGTAGTTTGCCCTGGCGCATTTCTTTTTATTTCTATTAGCCAAGGCAGGGTTAGGTGTTTTGTTTTGTTTTGTTTTTCCATATTTTTGAGGATTAATGATAAAGCACTTATCTTGTTGGAATGAGAGTCTACTAACAAATCCTGTACATCATAATAACAGAACTATCATCTAACAACTTGTTCTCAATAAATAAACTTTAAAACAACTTCCTTTATTATTTCAAAGGCATACATAGTCATATATATAACCAGTAACCAATACTTGTCAGTGTTTATTTTAAAATGCAGATTAGTTTCCATTTAGTTTGCTACCTACCTTAAAGCCCCTCTTCCTCCGATCCTGAATGCTGCTAGCTCTCCTCCTAATTGGTCATTCCCTCTTTCAACTAATGTTGCCCAGTTGTTTAGATTTCTATTGTGAAACACCAGTCCCATTAAATCTGAAAACACTGCTATAGAGTAACATTTCGTTAGACTGGTCTCACTACTTTCTGAAGAATGGACCATATTCATTCTCCATTTAATGCCATTCTCCTCCCTATACTGCCTGAGTACCACCTCTTCCAAGAAGTCATCTTTGACTACTCCATCCTCATCTCCTTAGGCTTTTCTCTCAATGGTCTACATCACTGACTTTCCACATAGCTTAGCTGTTCTTATGTCTTTCTCACAAATAAGTTTTCATACCTTTGTTCTTCAACATAAATAGGGGCCTCTCAGCCTGAGGGAGACAGTTTAGGGAGTACCAAAATACACGTAGTATCAAAAAAGCAGTCCCAGGCCACTGGAGCTTACCAGTTATTGAATCCTTGCTTCTGCGAATCCATTGTTTTGAAGGTTGGTGGGTAGTTGCAAACTCCTTGATGCATCTGCTGTGCTGTTGCATCCTCCCTCCTGTCTATCTCCCCTGCGTATGTACCACTGTCGCTATGGTCACGGTACTGAGCACCAGGGTTGCTAGGTTGCACAACTTTAAGGGGGTGCCATTCGCAACCTGCCTGACACGAATGGTGCTCCCTGGAATTATGCATTGCAACATCTGCACGTGATCCTGTCGAACACCAGAAAATTCTACTCCAGTGGCAATGGGGAGGCTGGTCCCTGGCTTGCTTAAAGAACCCGCTTTTTTATTGTGTAACATTATATACCTTTCAGGACATTTGACAAGATATATTTAAGCATTTGTTAATTTTGTATTATTAAATATGTGTGTTTATAAAGAAATAGATTATCCTGAAATAAAGAGAAAACGTTGGCAGTGTTCTGTGGTGGCCTAATGGATGGTTATTATTTTCTTCCATAAGCTTTATCTCCCCCACAATGGACAATGTTATACGTTACTTTTTTTTTTTTTTTTTTTTTTTTGAGAGTCTGCTCTGTCGCCCAGGCTGGAGTGCAATGATATGATCTTGGCTCACTGCAACCTCTGCCTCCCGAGTTCAAGTGATTCTCCTGCCTCAGCCTCCTGAGTAGCTGGGACTACAGGTGTGCGCCACCACACCCAGCTAATTTTTGTATTTTTAGTAGAGACGGGGTTTCACCATGTTGGCCAGGCTGATCTTGAACTCCTGACCTCATGATCCGCCCGCCTTGGCCTCTCAAAGTGCTGAGATTACAGGCGTGAGCCACTGTACCCGGCCCAATGTTACTTTTATAATCAGAAAAGTAGATATTTTCGACTGTGGGTTTCAGCACCAAAAAAAAAAAAGAGTAGATATTATTTAAAAGAACTGGTTGATTGATAGAGAGAAAAATGAAAGTGGCAAATTGTATATTTGTCAGAATGAAGTCAGTTAGAATCCCATATAAGATATGTAATTAAAGTTTTTATTTATTTGATTGACGTGAATATTTTTCTTGGTAAAAAGAGTTATTCTAGGCCAGGCACAGTGGCTCACCCCTGTAATCCTAGCACTTTGGGAGGCCAAGGCAGGCAGATCGCTTGAGTCCAGGAGTTCCAGACCAGCCGGGGCAACATGGCAAAACCCCATCTCTATAAAAATTACAAAAATTAGCCAGGCATGGTAGCACTTGCCTGTCATCCCAGCTACTCGGGAGGCTGAGGCAAGAGGACCCCTTAAGCCCAGAAGGCAGAGGTTGCAGTGAGCTGTGATCATGCCACTGCACTCCAACCTGGGCAACAGAGGGAGACCATGTCTCAGAAAAAATAAATAAAGAGTTGTTCTGTTGTTACACTTGCAATAACACATCATACTCATGAGATTTTAACTATGTATACCATATGTCATCAAAACTAGGGTACTGTTTCGTTGTGGGTTTTTTCCACCCAAAGAACAGCATGGATACTGTTGATTATAAGATCCATCATTATTTTATGTACAACTAAGGAAGAAAAACCTTGCCAGTTAAACCCTGACACGTTAATTAAGATATCGCAATTCCAGAAAGTTTCAAATGTCAAAAAAAATGTGCATCTGAGAATTAATGAAATATGGTGTATTTTAATGCATCTAGAAGGTGAAGCAATGCCATACAGGCCAGCATTTGAAATGTTAAATTTCTGAGTTTTTGATGTATAATCTTGTTATGCCTGATTCCTGAATAGCCACACTGTGGATGATACCACAAAAGCAGAGGCAGTGCAGTTCAACTGCATGTAAACATGTAAAACAAACAAAAGTGAATAACATGATTCAGTCACATAACGTTTGGAAAAAATACCAGCATCAAGTCACGTGCTGGATTATATTACAAATCAAAAATTAACTTTTTTTTTTTTTTTGAGATGGAGTTTCACTCTTGTTGCCCAGGCTGGAGTGCAATAGCACAATAAAAATTAACTTTTTGACAGTTGCTTATACTGAAAATGTGTGATGACAAGACGAATCAAATTTTAGATGTTAACACATAAGTTATCTTTGGAGAAGTCAAACTAAACATTCAGAAAAATCTCAGCAGTGCAATAGAATGACTTTACATCTGTCCCGGAAACTGAACAATAGTGCTTGTTGCTTATGAGGCCATCAGGAAAAGCCAGCTGTGGATTTCTTTCTAGTACAATTAATTGCTTCCGCTGTATATAAAATTGAAAGAATTGGGTGCTTTAGTGCGGAAAAAGGATATCCTGCTACACTGCTCCTATTTCCTCACAAAGGCTATTACTGAGCCTTTCACCATTAATTCGCATGCATTGGATTATCCTGTGATGAAAGGCCAAAAGGCTTTTCATTTTTATAGTCTCTTATCCTATTTATTTGGCACCTCTCTGGAGATACCTGCTCTTCTCCCAAGACCAGCTAATTGCTAGGATGTCAGAAGGTGGCTAATGACTGACTTCCTTTTCAGAGACTGTGAGCCCATCTCTTTGCTGCTTCTTGGGGTGGCTTTTCTTATTGCTGAGAAATATTCTGCGTTCTGTCATTATTTGAGGTAAAAAATGCTATCTTTTTTTTTTTTTTTTTTTTTTTTTTTTTTTTTTTTTTTTAAAGACAGAGTCTTGCTGTCTGTCACCCAGGCTGGAGTGCAGTGGTGTGATCACAGCTCACTGCAGCCTCAACCTCCTGGGCTCAAGCAATCCTCCCACCTCAGTCTCCCAGGTAGCTGGGACTACAGGTGCATACTGCCACATTCAGCTGATTTTTTTGTATTTTTGTAGAGACAGGGCCTCCCTGTATTGCCCAGTCTGATCTCGAATCCTGGGTTTAAGTGATCCTCCCACCTCAGCCTCCCAAAATGCTGGGATTACAGGCGTGAGCCACCGTGCTAGGCTCAAGACTTTGTTCTTAAGGCTGAGCTGAGCAGGTCAGAATCTACACCAGCACTGTCTAATAGAACTTTCAGTGAAAATGAAAATGTCCTGTATCTTCCCTGTTCCAACACAGTAGCCCCTAATCTCATGTGGTTATTGAGCATTTGATATGGCTAAACAGAGAAACTGAATTTTGATTTTTATTTATTTTTAACTAATTTAGAATTTACACAGTCACACATGCCAAGCAGCTATTGTATGTACTAGCCAGTGCAGGTCTACATGAAGGATATATAAAAAAATCACTTGATGGTCTCAGTGCACACAATGGGCAGGGATTGAGGGGTTGGCATTGAAAATGCAGCATCTCAGCTAAGTGCAGTGGCTCACGCCTGTAATCCCAACGCTTTGGGAGGCCAAGGTGGGCAGATCACCTGAGGTCAGGAGTTCAAGACCAACCTGGCCGACATGGTGAAACCCCGTCTCTACTAAAAATATAAAAATTGGCTGGGCATGGTGACGCACGCCTGTAATCCCAGCTACTTGAGAGGCTGAGGCAAGAGAATCTCTTGAACCCAGGAGGCAGAGGTTGCAGTGAGCCAAGATCGCGCCACTGCACTCCAGCCTGGGCAACAGAGTGAGATTCTGTCTCAAAAAAAAAAAAAGGAACAAAGAAAATGAAGCATCTAAACAACCAAAAGAGTAGAATTGGATTGTTTGTAACACAAAGGATAAATGCTTGTGGGGTGGATATCCCAGCTTCCGTGATGTGATTATTATAACTGCATGCCTGTATCAAAATATGTACCCCATTTAAAATATATATATATATATATCCACAAAAATTAAAACTAAAAAAAATGCCACCTTAAAAAAGAAAATGGGCTGGGCATGGTGGCTCACACCTGTAATCCCAGCATTTTGGGAAGCTAAGGCAGGCGGATTGCTTGAGCCAGGAGTTTGAGACCAGCCTAGGTGACATAGGGAGACCCCTTCTTTACAAAAAATACCAAAAATTAGCTGGGCATGGTGGCACACACCTGTAGTCCCAGCTATTCAGGAGGCTAAGGAGGGAGGATTGCTTGAGCCCAGGAGTTTGAGACAAGCCTGCGCAACATAGGCGGACCCCTTCTCTACAAAAAATACTAAAAATTAGCCAGGCATGGTGGCACACACCTGTAGTCCCAACTACTGAGGAGGCTGAGGTGGGAGGATCGCTGGAGCCAGAGAGGTGGAGGCTGCAGTGAGCCATGTTGGCACCACTGCACTCCAGTCTGGATGATGGAGTGAGAAAAAAAAAAAAGAAGAACAGGTTCTGAAACCATTGGCTGAATTGATGCCTTTGTTCTCGCTGTTAAAAATAAATGGTAGAAAGCCCACACATTCAGGGATCTTTTCTGTAGTTTGCTACTAGAGAAGTTTCTCTAAACATGCAGAGCACCAGAAATCGGGGTTGCTATTCAATGGATATAAAGTTGCCGTTTATATTAAGTGTTCTTACTACGATTTTTTTGTTTGTTTTTTGAGATGGAGTCTCACTGTCACCCAGGCTGGAGTGCAGTGTCCCGACCTTGGCTCACTGCAACCTCTGTCTCCAGGGTTCAAGCGATTCTCCTGCCTCAGCCTCCCGAGTAGCAAGGATTATAGGCACACACCACCACGCCCAGCTAATTTTGTATTTTTAGTAGAGATGGGGTTTCGCCATGTTGGCCAGGCTGGTCTCGACTCCTGATCTCAGGTGATCCACCTGTCTCAGCCTCCCAAAGTACTGAGATTACAGACGTGAGCCACTGCATCCGGCCGATTCTTTTAAAAAAACAAATTTTTTGTCTGGGCATGGTGCCTCACGCCTGTAATCCCAGCACTTTGGGAGGCCGAGGCAGGTGGATCACGAGGTCAGGAGATCGAGACCATCCTGGCCAACATGGTGCAACCCCCTCTCTACTAAAAATATAAAAATTAGCTGGGCATGGTGGCATGCACCTGCAGTCCCAGCTACTCGGGAGGCAGGAGAATTGCTTGAACCTGGGAGGCAGAGGTTGCAGTGAGCCAAGACTGCACCACTGCACTCCAGCCTGGGCGACAGAGCGAGACTCCCTCTCAAAAAAAAACAAAAACAAAAACAAAAAAAACAATTTTTTTAATGGTAGAAACTAGCCAAAATGCTAAGTAGCGGTTGTCTCCCAGTAGTAGGACTATGGTCACTTTTTTTTCTTCTTTCTGCCTATGTGTGTTTTTCATATTTTATTTAATAAGCACATATTCCTTTCTTAATTTGTCAACATTAAAGAGAGCTAAACCCATTCATTTCTTTATTACCCAATTTCAAATTAAAGTGGTTTCAACCAACTCTTTCTCTAAGAGAGAGGGTAGTCATTTTGAAATACTGTTTCTTCAAAAATTACTTCAGGCAGCAATTTTAGTTGAGAGATCTGTATTCCCTATCCTAGCGTGAATAGCATCAGAGACCTGTGTTTGGGATGCCCTAGAACCCTGCTGAGAAGAATCAGAGAACATCCTTCTGGAAGACATGGCTGCAGACCTGGAGCCATCCTCTCACTTAGGCATTCCCTGGGTGTTGTGCCAGGATCCAAGCATTTCTGGACTACATTCCGGAGTCTCAGAGTCAAGGCCCAACAGTTTAAGGAGGCTCGTGGACTGACAAGGGCTCTGGTTTTAACACTGAGAAGAGAACCATAAAAAGAAGTCCTCATTTCCTAAAAGTTCACACATGATCGTACAGGTTTAATTGGGAACAGCGAGCTGTTTACAGCAAAGTATAAACTGTATAAAGCAGACCTCAGCGGACACTCCCAGAGGATGTCCTGTGAACTCTCACTTCCCCAAGTCCAGATTCAGCAGAGCTGGCTTGGTGAGGTAGGGCGCTGCAATGCCAGCCAGAGGAGTAGCCCAGAAACCCCTTTCCAGAACTTTCTTTGACCAAAAGAGATGGCCAAAGAGTTTTTTCTTCCTTGAAACTTGAGGCCAATCCCACTATTTTCTTAACTGCTTCTGCATATCCACTAAAGAGACTCTTGAGAAACAGGCTTAGCCACATGATGTGGTGGGAAGAACACGAACTTTGCAATCAGAATCCTGGCTGTACTTCCCAGTTTTTTACCTTGGGCAGAGTTTGTCAGCCTCTTAGACTCCCAGTTTCTTCATCTATAAAATGGGAATAAATAATACCAATCTCATGGGACAGATGTCAGAATTAACTGAGATATATGCAAAGTGATTGCCATAGAGTCAGCACTCAATGAATTTTAGTTACTTTCTTTTTCCTTCTAGAAAGTGATTGGTCCATTAGTGTTTGTGTTGAAGGGGAGAGAAAACAAACTGTAAAACTCTAAATGAGCCTTACTTCAAATACAGCCCAATGCAGTTCAGTAATTAGTATATGAGTTCTGCTTCAGCTTGGGCTGGGCTCCAGTTCTTCATTCCAGCCTTAGCTCTGGAATTTCCTTCTCTAGAAAACCTTGGCGGCCCACTCCCAGGCCGGGTTAGCGGCCTGCTGAGCTGTCCTGTAGCACTTATCTGGCCTTCGGCTTCTCAAACCGAGGCACCTAACACTGAATGTGGAGTACAAAAGGTTATAGAGCAGGCCGGGCGAGGTGGCTCACGCCTGTAATCCCAGCACTTTGGGAGGCCAAGGCGGGCGGATCACGAGGTCAGGAGATTGAGACCATCCTGGCTAACACGGTGAAACCCTTTCTCTACTAAAAATACAAAAAAATTAGCCAGGCGTGGTGGCGGGTGCCTGTAGTCCCAGCTACTTGGGAGGCTGAGGCAGGAGAATCGCTTGAACCCGGGAGGTGGAGGTTGCAGTGAGCTGAGAGCACGCCACTGCACTCCAGCCTGGGCGACAGATCCAGACACCGTCTCAAAAAAGAAAAAAAAAAAAAAAAAAAGAAAAAGGTTATAGAGCATCTCGTCCAGGGCATCTTTTTTTTTTTTAATAATAATAACTTAAAACAGAGCATGATTTTTAAAGCTAAAATATTAGATTGTAAGAGAAATTTTACAATTGCAGAAAGCTCCTAGAGGACATGTGTTTACTGTCCTTTGCTTGTAGGTCTGCTTTATATAAAGTTGAAGAAACGTTTATTGCCTTATGATAGTGAAATTATGCATAACTTAATTATCTCCTCAACCAGACTATGAGCTCTGTGAGGCAAGGATTGTGCCTCATTTGCCTCTGAATTCACAATAAAGTACTTAGTTACTTAGCATGAGGCCTTGCTCAAAGTAAAGGCTCAATGAATGTGGAACTAAACTCAACTCTGTCTTCCTCCCAGTGCTTCTGATGAATATAGTATTTCCACAAAGGAAAGGACTTCACATCAAGTGCCTAGTGGAGAGAGGTATTTTGGGGAGATGTATTTTACCTATCTAAACCTTGGCTTCCTTACCTGGTAGAGTTGTGAAGTTCAATGAGAAAAGATACATAAAGTGCCAAGCACTGTGCATAAGCATAGAAGGTGCATGCACACACACACGCAAACAATAAGAAAACTTGTTTCCTTTCCTCTAAAGTCACATTCTGGTTATTAACCTACAAACTATGACATTATCCTGGTCATTTAAATCATTCCAAGCAACTAAAAAAGGACCTGGTATCTATGGCTCAGGTCTGAGCCACTGCCTGGGGCTTCTGCAACACCCCATCTTTCCTCCTAAACTCGCAACCTCATATTACCATACCATTCAACAGCTTGCTTACTCTTTGGGTTACCTTCCCATTAAACCTGGGCTTATAGGGATAATTCAACTAGAAAGTGGAGAGAGGTAACCGCTTCTTAGGAGGAGGGAGCTGCAGAGCCATTTCCAGCCTTGCCTCACTCAGTAATCTGATTTCCCCTCCCAATTCCAGGGCATGTCTTGGCCCTGGTTCCAGGAACAGTCCTGGACAAATGTTGCCAATTCCTAACATAGAGCATGAACCAGGGAATCAGGATCCCAAAATGGCTGTGTCTTTTATTCTATTGGCCTGAGTCTAGAGTAGCTTTACCAAGAAACTAATGCAGCTTAAACTTCAAGGCTCCTCCCTCACTTCCAAAGACCCCCATGGGTGCTAAGAGTTGCTGGAATATTCTAGGTTGAGAGGGAAAGCTAGTTTGCAATCAGGGAACTTTTTTTTTTTTTTTTGAGATGACGTTTCACTCTTGTTGCCCATGCTGAACTGCAATGGTGCAATCTCACCTTACTGCAACCTCTGCCTCCTGGGTCCAAGCGATTCTCCTGCCTCAGCCTCCCAAGTAGCTGGGATTACAGGCATGCACCACCACACCTGGCTAATTTTTGTATTCTTAGTAGAGATGGGGTTTCACCATGTTGGCCAGGATGGTCTCGAACTCCTGACCTCAGGTGATCCACCCACCTCAGCCTCCCAAAGTGCTGGGATTACAGGTGTGAGCCACCACGCCCAGCCCAGGGAACACTGTTATGTAAGCTTTTCTGATAACTTGCCTAAGTAGGCTTTAGAAGAAAGTGACCTAGAGTTCTGGGACTCCACTCATTTGTTGTGATTTTGTCCTCATTCTAAATGAATACTCCATTTGGTGTTTGCAGCTACTGTAACCCCTTTTTTTCTTTTCTGTCTTTCTTTTTTCTCTTTTTTTTTTGAGACAGAGTCTCACTCTGTCGCTTAGGCTGGAGTGTAGTGGTGCAACCTCAGCTCACTGCAACCTCCGCCTCCCAGGTTCGGGCAATTCTCCTGCCTCAGCCTCCCGAGTAGCTGCAATTACAGGCGCGTGCCACCACGCCTGGCTAATTTTTGTATTTTTAGTAGAGACGGGGTTTCACCATGTTGGTCAGGCTGGTCTCGAACTCCTGACTTCATGATCCACCCACCTTGGCCTCCCAAAGTGCTGGGATTACAGGCGTGAGCCGCCGCGTCCTGCCAGCTTTTTTTTTTTTTTTTTTTTTAACAAGGTCTCACTCTGTCACCCAGGCTAGAGTGCAGTGGTGTGATCACAGCTCACTGCAGCTTCCATCTCCTGGGCTCAAGCGATCCTCCCACCCTGGCCTGCAGAATAGCTGGGACCACAGTCGCATGCTGCCACGCCCAGCTAATTTTATATTCTTTTTTTCTTTTCTTTTCCTTTTTTTTTTTTTTTTTTTTTGAGGTGGAGTCTCATTCTGTCACCCAGGTTGGACTGTAGTAGCACGATCTTGGCTCACTGCAACCTCCACCTCCCAGGTTCAAGCAGTTCTCCTATCTCAGCCTCCTGAGTAGCTGAGATTACAGGCACACACCACTACACTTAGCTAATTTTTGTATTTTTCATAGAGACAGGGTTTCACCATATTGGTCAGGCTGGTCTTGGGCTCCTGACCTCAGGTGATCCACCCACCTCAGCCTCCCAAATATATTCTTTTTCTTAAAGATGGCCCCACAAAACACTGGATTCCAGGCTGAGTCAGGCCCTTCTCCAATCTGTATCTACTTTTCTACAATGCTTCCCTCTCCTGCAGCTCACCAGAAAGTCACAAGTAGGATGAGAGGGGCTCCGCAGGGATGTGGAGGTGACCACATGCAAGATAGAATTGCCATCACCACTGGCATTCCTTCTACCCCAGGCACACATTGGATGCCTTGCAGTGATCCTTCTTCCACAAATGCTGGGATTCTCCTGCATTCCCAGTGCTTCTATTTGAAATAGTTTTCAGGATACCCTGAATTCAGGATAATACCCATCCTGAATTCAGCATTGGACATTGTATTAGTTGAGATTCTTTTGGTTGCAAGTGACAGCAACCGAATTTAAACAAGCAGAAGGAAAAAGGCGAGAACTATACTCTGAACCAGAGTTAGATAAAGGGAATAACTGATTTGCAAATGGAAAGGTATTCTGTAAGAATTTACTTAATAAAATATTTGGGGTTTTGAATAGAATTTGTTTGTGAAAAACAGCACTTTGTTCTCAGCTAAGCAATAACAATTATGGCATTCTTTGGTTATTTCAATTATGTTTTTTTTTTTTTTTTGAGATGGAGTTTTGCTCTTGTTGCCCAGGCTGGAGTGCAATGGTGCAATCTCAGCTCACCACAACCTCCGCCTCCCAGGTTCAAGTGATTCTCCTGCCTCAGCCTCCCAAGTAGCTGGGATTACAGGCATGCGCCACCACGCCCGGCTAATTTTGTATTTTAGTAGAGATGGGGTTTCACTATGTTGGCCAGGCTAATCTCGAACTCCCGACCTCAGGTGATCCACCCTCCTCGGCCTCCCAAAGGGCTGGGGTTACAGGCATGAGCCACCGAGCCCGACCCAAATGGTTATTTCTATGTAAACAGACAGTTTTTAAATAATGTGAAAATACAGGAGTGTTTTGGAAATACCGAGGTGGGAACACCGGCCCGCTGTGGCCAGGACGATGGCACATCATGAGAAGGTAGCACTTGCGGTTGAGAAGTGAGGCTGGAGAGACACAGCGGCCTGGCATATGGGACTTGTAAATGCAGGTTAGTTTGGGCTCTGTTGAGGGATAATGAGAAGACATTTATAAGTTGTGCAGGTCCATTAGATGGTCAGATTTATTTTTGGAGAGATCCTGAATGGGAACGGATTCGGGGGTGGATACGGAGCAAAATGGAGACAAGGAGATCAGTTAGGAAGCTGCTGAGATGATGCAGAGGAGAGATGTTTTTTAAAGGCAGGAGTCCTGAGGATGAGAGGAGAAAACAAATTCAAGACAGGTTCAGGAAGTACATGGGCAGCCTGTGGTGGTTATTTGTTGTCAGAGCAATATGGGAGAAGACACTAGGATGATCCCAGATATTTAGTTTCAATGACCGGGTGGTGCCTACAATTCACTGAAAGAAAGAATACAAGAGGAGAAGCAGGTTGGCTAGGAGGATGGAGAACTAAGTCAGTGGCAGCCCTGGAATTCCTCTATGGAAGAGATTCAGTCAGAAGGCATGTGGTATTTGTCTTGAAATTATAGTTACAATTATAAGCATTCTGCATTTATTTAGCATGCATGTTCAGAAATGATAGCATGGATGGCGGATTATTTGAAGGCCTTCTCAATAGAAGTTTAATCACCTTGTTTAAGCAGACAAGGATATATGAATAACATAAATGTTTTGCATTCAAAGGGAATTTACCAGCCAAATAATAAACTGAAGACCTCGTCTCGCATTATATTTTCTAAAGGTTTGCTTAGCTACTTGGTGGTCAAATATTTCAGTTTATTTCTGTTCTACTCCAAATGACTTCATTTCTAGAAAAGTTGCTATATTTCCTTTTATATCATTTGTTTTCAAATAAGTTTAGGGTAAAATCCTCTCATAGCATTTTTTTTTTCTTTTTAATAATGAAGACCCTTCTGAGGGTACTATGTTTAACAAAATCAAACTCATTCTTTTTCGAGGTAATCTGTTTCTAGGAATTACTGAAAGGTAAAAGGAAGTTTTCCATAACATGTATGATTTTTAGCACCTGAATCAGACCTTGAAAGAGCTGTGCAATTACAAATAGAAAACACATCTTATTGTTTTAATACTTCTTGAAGCTATAGCATGGATGACAGAATGTCACATCCTGAATTTGGCATTGGATGTTGTATTAGTTGAGATTCTTTTGGTTGCAAGTGACAGAAACCCAATTTAAACGAGGTCAAGAATAAAGGGAAGGCCAGGTGCGGTGGCTCATGCCTGTAATCCCAGCACTTTGGGAAGCTGAGGTGGGTGGATCACTTGAGGTCAGGAGTTCGAGATTAGCCTGGCCAACATGGTGAAACCCCATCTCTACTAAAAATACAAAAATAAGCCAGGTGTGGTGGTGCATGGCTGTAATCCCAGCTACTTGGGAGGCTGAGGCAGGAGTATTGCTTGAACCCAGGAGGTGGAGGTTGCATTGAGCCAAGATGGCGCCACTGTACTCCAGCCTGGGTGACAGAGTGAGACTCTGTCTCAAAAAAAAAAAAAAAAAAAAAGAATAAAGGGGAAATTGAGCAAAAGGAAAAGATAAGTGTGGAGCCTTGGGAATGACAAGATCCAGAAGCCATCACACTGGCAGAACACTCCGTCTCTCTCATTTCAACTCTTTGCTTTCCAGTGCCTGTTGGCTTCTTTCTCTCCTAGAGTAAACAGACTTTCTTCACACAAGAGGGAACAGAGGGCCTGTTGGACTCATTCTTCCAGCTCAGCCACCAGTAAGAGAAGAGAATCTCTCTCCAAGATCTGGTTTTAGCAGTCTCAGGGAAGAAGAATTCTGATTGTTCTGGCTTGGTTCACAAACCCACTTCTTGAACCAATCATGCACCTAAAGGGGCAGGGTCTGTATCAGAAGAAAGGATAGACGCACATACAGATGGCCAACCATCCAGCCCGTGAAGTAGGTGGGCTTGGGTGGCTGTGGGACATCCACGTGAAGCAGTGAGGCAAAATCTGGACACATGAGCCTGAGGCTCAGAGGACAGCACTGAACTGAAGACATTCTGTCCGATGGCTCAGAAAGTCACTGATTGCCTTGACAAAATTAATGGCAGGATTTATTCCACAAGCTCAGTAGATAGATTAACACATGATCTTTATTCTTAGATAACCCTTCATATGTGTGTTAATAGAGGCTTAACTAGGATCAGACAGTGAAGTTCATAGTTATAAAATAAATTGTTTTTACAAGAAAGCAGGCCAGGCGCAGTGGCTCATGCCTATAATCCCAGCACTTTGGTAGGCCGAGGCGGGCAGATCACTTGAGGTCAGGAGTTTGAGACCAGCCTGGCCAACATGGCGAAACACTGTCTTTTCTAAAAATACAAAAATTAGCTGGGCATGGTGGTGCACACCTGTAATTCCAGATACTCAGGAGGCTGAGGCACTAGAATCACTTGAACCCGGAAGGCGGAGGTTGCAGTGATCTGAGATTGCACCACTGCACTCTAGCCTGGGTGACAGAGTAAGACTCTGTTTCAAAAAAATTTTTTTTAATAAAATAAATAAAAATAAATAACTTTTTTTTGAAAAAAAGAATGTTGGCCGGGTGCAGTGGCTTACTCCTGTAATCCCAGCACTCTGGGAGGCCAAGGCAGGTAGATTTCTTGAGGTCAGGAGTTGAGACCAGCGTGGCCAACATGGCGAAACCTGTCTCTACTAAAAATACAAAAATTAGCTGGATGTGGTGGCAGGCACCTGTAGTTCCAGCTACTCAGGAGGTTGAGGCAGGAGAATCGCTTGAATGTGGGAGGTGGAGGTTGCAGTGAGCCAAGATTGCACCACTGCACTCCAGCCTGGAAGACAGAGTGAGACTTTGTCTCAAAAAAAAAAGTCAAAAAAAAAAAAAGTAAACTCCACAAGAGCAGAAGTTTTTGTCTGCTGTACTCACTGTTGTGTTGTCAGTGTCCAGAGCAGTGCCTGTTCATGTCACTAGTAGGTGCTCAATAAATATTTGTTGAAAGAATGAATGAGCAAATAAGCAAACAATATTTATTCTGTCCACAAATCCTTAGGGGGGCAGAAATTATGTACAAGTTAATTATACCAAATTCTAATTTTTGGTTCATATTTCTGGGCTATTAGTATTTTGTGTGTGTGTGTGTGTGTGTGTGTGTGTGTGTGTGTGTGTGTGTGAGTGAGTGTAGGAGCCTTTTCTTCTCCATCATCTATTTTTAAAATTGTTATAGCTTTAAGAAGTACTAAAATGATGAGATGTGATTTCTGTTTGTAATTGCACAGCTCTTTCGAAGTCTGATTCAGGTGCTGAAAATCAAATATGGTATGTACAACTTCCCTTTACTCTTCAGTAATTTCTAGAAACAGAATACCTTGAAAAAGAATGAGTTTGATTTTGTTAAACATAGTACCCTCAGAAGGGTCTTCATTATTAAAAAGAAAAAAAAATTCTATGAGAGGTCTTTACTCTGAACTTATTTGAAAACAAATGATGTAAGAGGAAATATGGCAACTTTTCTAGAAATGAAGCCATTTAGAGCAGAATAGAAATAAATTAATTGGAAATATTTTACCGCCAAGTAGCTAAGTTAACAAACCTTTATGGAAATATAATGCGAGATGAGGTCTTTGGTTTATTATTTGCCTGGTAATTCCCTTTGTATGCAGAACATTCGTGTTATTCACATATCCTTGTCTGTTTAAACATGGTGATTACACTGCTATTGAGCATCAGGGCAAGCAAGTTGTGTTTATTCCCACAGAATGTTTTGTTTTGTCTCCAACTTTTATTTGTGGCCATATAGAAGTAAGCTACTTCTGATGTGACATGAAAAATTTTACACAGAAAAATCTGTATTTGCACATCCTTTGGGGGGCTTTATTTTTGCTAAAAAGTAGAATTCACACAGGCAAAAAAAAAAACACATGCAAAATATTTTTGTGCACACCTTTAACAGGCTACATTCCACTTCTGAAATGTTTCCAAAAACAAAACAAAAAATCCCAAAGCCAGAATACTGAGTTAAAAAGTTAACACATTATAAAAGCTAGGTTCCTAACACAAACACTGCAGATATAAGCTGCAGATATAAGTCACTCCATTGCAAAAAGTTGTGATTATAATTTTTTTTTTTTTTTTTTTTTTGCAACGGAGTTTCGCTCCTGTTGCCCAGGCTGGAGTGCAATGGCATAATCTCGGCTCACTGCAACCTCCGCCTCCAGGATTCAGGAGATTCCTGCCTCAGCCTCCCAAGTAGCTGGAACTACAGGCGCCTGCCACCACACCTGGCTAATTTTGTGTATTTTTAGTAGAGATGGGGTTTCACCATATTGGCCAGGCTGGTTTCAAACTCCTGACCTCAGGTGATTCACCTGCCTCGGCCTCCCAAAGTGCTGGGATAACAGGCGTGAGCCACTGTGCCTGGCCTATAAATGTTTAATTAATGTCAACAATGAGGAGACAAGAAATGTAGCTCCAAAGTGTGCTCCCCACCATGGATTATGAAAAATTTTGTTTAGTGTTGTAGGACATCCAAATGTAAACTTGAGCTAGACACGGCCTTACTCCTGACACTACACCAGACTCACAGACACTGAGTGAACCACACTCAAAACTACCTTCTTTTCCTGCTACCTTTTAAGTGGTTTTTTTTTTGTTTTTTTGTTTTTTTTTTGCTAGTTTTGTCTTTTTGGCAAATAGGAGTCCCTCAGAATCTACACTTGCTCTGAAATGTAGAAAAATTGATTCAATAAAGGACGGTGGTGAAACCGTCCTTTGAGATATTTTACTTTTCTTCTTAAAGAGCATACACTTTTTAATGATCGTGTGTGTGTGTGTGTGTGTGTGTGTGTGTGTGTGTGTGTGTGTGTGTAAACCCTTTAAAAAGAGATTTTGGAAACTGAATTCTGGGAACGTTTTTTTTTTTTTTTCCTTCCTCAAGACCAGCCCCTGATAATTGAATAGATAGTTTTTGGAGAAAATGACTTAGAGCCTGTCAGTACAGTCAGCAACCTCCTTGTCCCTGCATATTTGAACTTTCCAAAAATAACAGAATGCTCCAAGGTACTTGTCTGCAGCTCCTGACAAATCTCCAGGCAGTCCCAGCAGATTTTACTCTGCCTGCTGCTTTGTATTCACCTTCTCACAGATCCAAAGGTAGGAAGGGCCCTGTGGCAGGAGCACATCCATGTCCCTTCCTGATGCTCCCTGGGGGAGACTGGTGGCTTCGTGCTTGGAAAAAATAGGGGCTTCCTGCAGCTAGGGACATAGCTAGCTGCTTCCTTCTCCCTCATGGAGAAGAGACAGGTAAGATGGCAATCCCCTGGAAGTCTCAGTCCTTAGAAGAAAAGAGTTCTAATACATTCCCATAAAACATTTCAAACATGCAAAGAGAAAAATCCAAAACAGGAGTGAGGACAGAATAGAGTGAGTTGGAAGAGAGCCTAAATATCGTGCTCAAGTGAGAAACATCCACGCAAGTGCCTGCTTCAATGCCATGTTTTCAATGAGCATATTAACAGGGCTTCCTAAAAAGGGAAGCGACTACACTGTTTCCAACCACAGAATCTAAGCTGCCTTCTTTATCACCAAACAGCTTTAAGATGCTTACCTAACTCAAACTATCACTAGTATAAAGTAGTTTGAAGGCCCCTCTACTTCAATAAATACTTAAATAATAGCTAGATCAACTCAGCTCATACATTTTCAAAATATTGGCCAAAACAGCAAATGCATATATATCAGTGCATCTGTCCCTTCCAGCAGTTAACACAATTGTACAAACTCAGTGTGCTGCATTTAAAGGAACATTTGAAAAGGATGATGCAGACCTGAAGGTGGGAGGTCCTGCCTCCTCGTGTGTTCTTACTGAGGGTGGCAGAAAGTAAGTTTCCTCTTCCCCACCCAGAGTTTGGGCATGTGAGCCTATTCTGCCATCCTGTTTCAGACACTGTCTCTCTGTCTCTCTTCTTTTCCACAGGCCACCAAGCCTATTTGAGATGGAGGGTACTGGGGGAGACGTCATAAGTGAGCAGTCACAAGTTGGGGTGAAATTCATGCACACGACTGGACACTCATGCTAACGAACCCTTAAAGCTAAACAAAGGCCAAAGACAACCCAAAGCCTTTAAAAAAATCTCTCACACACCACAGAGCAAAACTGGAAAAACCCAACTCTACTTTCCCATCACAATTCAAAAAGGAGCTAAGCCTTCTGGGGATGTTGGATGTTTCAGACTGAGAGAGGGTGGCTGACAGGGCCATCTTTTCTCAGCTGTCTGCAACCTGAGCCAGAGCCCTTCCTGGAGCCCTGGCAATTGCCCAGTGGCTCCCAGAAGACATCTCTTTGGACGTCCGGGCTCCCAAGAAGGTTTTAAGTTTGTTCAAGGTCTGAAGTCTGATGCGCAGAGGTAGCTCCATGACGCTAGTAATGGAATAACACTTCCTTTTTTGGTGAGGAAAGCCCAATGGGTCTTAGCTAACAAGCTCTCAGCTATGACTCTAAAAATACCCTGCAGCGAGTGCTGTTTGGCACTTCAATTTGTTTGCCAGGGGAGCGCTTAAGAACTCCGCAGAATGCTTCAGATTCTCCACAGCTGCTCTAAGCTCTGTCCTCCTCTGGTGACCAAAGCAAGTGTATCGCTTTGGGAAAGCTGCTTGTTGCTTTTCACTTTTGAGTTCTTGGAATTCTGCTCTAAATGTCTGAAGTACAATTCCAGTCTTGGATTAATAACTAGCTTGGTTTTGAGTCTTCATTTGGCTCCTAGTCTGAACTATGCAAATGCACGATCTGTGTACAGAAGAAAAAACCTAAAATTATACTTCCAAAGGGCTCAGTCGCTTCCTCTCTCTCCCCATTCCCCTCAGAAGAAACATCAGCCTCCCGAATCCTTTGTTGCCAGCAGCAGGAGCAGCTCCGGGCCTCGTCAGCACAGGCGGCCTTGGCCGCCTACAAGTTGATGGTGTGTGCGTGCTTCTTGCACAGGGGTCTGTCCTTCTTGGAGTAGAACGGCTGCCCCTCCAGATTCACATGGCAGACCTGGAGCAGAGAACAGACCTGCGTGAGACCCACGTGGCACAGGGCATGAGCAGATTTCAATCACTTTTTTAAGAAAACGCCCTGGCCAGGCGTGGTGGCTCAGTCCTGTAATCCCAGCACTTTGGAAGGCCAAGGCAGGCAGATCACTTGAGGTCAGGAGTCCAAGACCAGCCTGGCCAACATGGCGAAACTCCATCTCTACTAAAAATACAAAAATTAGCCAGGGGCATGTTGCCATGTGCCTGTAATCCCAGCTACTCGGGAGGTTGAGGCAGAAGAATCTCTTGAACCCGGGAGACAGAGGTTGCAGTGAGCTGTGATTGTGCCACTGCACTCCAGCCTGGGCAACATAGCAAGACTGTCTAAAGCAAACAAACAAACAAACAAACAGCCTTGCCCCATGCATTCTAGAGAAAAGGCAACAGCCTATTTCTCCCACTATGAATTCTTAATGACGGAAGCAGAGTACATGAGTTGGACTATATAAAAACTAAGATTCCTGAAGAACAGAATAAAATCAAATGAAATTAATTAAATTTAATGGAATAGAGAAAATATACACTATGAAGCTGACCAATTCATGCTATCTAAAATAGCATGAATAGAGTCAATACAAGTTCACAAGTCAATATACCACAGAGAGGATTCACGTCTAAAGAAAATCATTAGTAAACTAACAAACACATCAGAGAAGATTGTACTCACTAATAATTAAAGAAAAAGCAAATTAAAACTCCCCTGACTCCAGGCGCAGTAGCTGATGCCTGTAATCCCTACACTTTGGAAGGCCAAGGCAGGAGGATCGTTTGAGGCCAGGTGTTTGAGACCAGCCTGGGCAACATAGTGAGCCTCTGTCTCTACCAAAAAAAAAAAAAAAGAAAAAGAAAGAAAGAAAAGAAAATTAGTTAAAAAAATTACAAGAAAAACTGCCCTGAGATACCACTAGACACATATTAATCTAGCAAGACAAATAAAACAAAAAAACCTCAATGGCCTGTCACCTTTAACCTAATATGCCTGTAGCCAAAAAGCTTAAAAAAAAAAAAAGTATTCAATCAAAAATCAGCAATGCCAAAAAGGAACAAGGCCTACTCGTGCACTGCTAGAGACATGTGAGTGAGCTCAGTGTTCCATAGGGAATCTGGCCATGTTGAACAAGAACCATTGAGATGTGACTACCCTGTAACCCAGTAATGCCACGCTAGAGAATTTTATCCTGCAGAAGCAACTCTGCAGAACAACAAAACAACCTGTGCTCAACTAGAAACTGAAAACTAGTAAAATTTCTCTCAATAGGAAGATGATTCAGTAAATTTTCATGGTGTATTTTTCCAATGGAATGCCACCATTTAAAAAGAGAGATGGGCCAGGCATGGTGGCTCACGCCTGCAATCCCAGCATTTTGGAAGGCCGAGGCAGGAGGACCACGAGATCAGGAGTTTGAGATCAGCCTGACCAACATGGTGAAACCTTGTCTCTACTAAAAATACAAAAATTAGCCGGGTGTGGTGGTGCGCACTGGTAATCCCAGCTACTCAGGAGGCTGAGGCAGGAGAATCACTTGAACCCGGAAGACGGAGGTTTCAGTGAGCTGAGATCATGCCACTGTACCCAAGCCTGGGCGACAGAGCGAGATTCCGTCTCAAAAAAAAAAAAAAAAAGGTAGATATGGAAAAGTATGCAGAGAAATATACAAAAAAACAAAAGAGATGAAATTCTTTTTTTTTTTTTTGAGATGGAGTCTCACTCTGTCACCCAGGCTGGAGTGCAGTGGCGCGATCTCAGCTCACTGCAACCTCTGCCTCCCGGGTTCAAGCAATTCTCCTGCCTCAGCCTCCCTAGTAGCTGGGATTACAGGCGCCCACCACCATACTCAGCTAATTTTTTTTGTAGTTTAGTAGAGACAGGGTTTCACCATGTTGGCCAGGCTGGTTTCAAACTCCTGACCCCAAGCAATCCACCTGCTTTGGCCTCCCAAAGTGCTGGGATTACAGGCGTGAGCCACCACGCCCAGCCCAAGAGATGAAATTCTATATCCCCATGATGACAACATATAGTCTGAGGCTGGAGGCATCCCAGAAAGAAGAGAACTAATTAATATTTGTGGGGACTACCATGGACCAAGCAGGATGCCAGACACTCTATATACAGCAGCTCATTTAATTCTCATGAAAACCTTATAAGGTAGGTAAGCCTTTCTCCCACTTCACAGCTGAAAAAACTGGGGCTCAGAGGGCCCATACGTCTTCCTTAAGTCACAGACCTAGTAAGTTGTAGGCTGGGAATCTCTGTCCATGTCTGTAAGACTCCAGTTCTATGCTAATTTTTCCCCTACCCCATAGAAGAAAGGGACTGTGTTTACTTGAAATTGATCTGGGTTCATGGGTTTGTACAGATGTAGCCCTCTGAGTTTGCTGGACTACTAGTATGTAAGCTGGGCCCTGGGTTGGCAATATGCCAGTAGGTCAGAGTCTGCCAGGAAATCACATTGGCTGGCATGGGTCCCAGCTTAGGAGAGGGCAGTGAAGATCCCTGCTGGGGGGCAGAATTGGGAGCCATCTCCAGGACACTGACATCAAGAGGAGTGCACGTGGAGTCCCCACATACAGGTATCCCCCATGGAGACAGAGAAATCACCCCCTTGAGTTGAGCTTGGGGCAATATGCATGTATTCAGTCCAAGAGAGTTGGAGAGGAAAAGGGCACCACGCTAGCCCCATGTGCAAGGCTCTGATGGTCCAGTTGGGGACGTTATACCTAGGATCACACAGGGCTTCCAATTGGGTTCTGGGAGCCAATGAGCTGCAAAAGTGTTTGAAAACATCCCAGGTGGATGCAGTGATGCTGAGTATAACCAGGCTCGTGTGGAGGCCTCAAGCTGCTGGTGACAATTTAAAGACTATGCAAAAAGATGGACATCCAAGATCTAACTGGTGAGAATGGGCTTTAGGGAAGACAGAAAGGCATCTCTGGAATGAGTCAGCCTGTCAATGACTGCAGCTGTGGGTGGGAGACCATACCTGGACTGGGACAATGCTGGTTGCTTGTGAGAACTTTGGGATGAGTCAGGCTGGGGAGAGAAGGTGTCCAGGGACTGAAGACCAACAAATGAGAAAGGGACAGAACCTCAAAGATGGCTCATAGGTGAGATGGGGCTGAGGGTGGGAACCCTCATAAGGAGTTGTGCCCAGTGTCTTCTTGGTGCAAGGTGGCTTCATAGTGGAGGAGGCCTTCTGCCCACCCAGCACAGGGGGCAACAGGGATGGTCCAACCCCCAGGCTCTGTGGCTGGGTGACATCAGGGCCTGGCTATAAAAGGGTAGCGACCATGGACAGTGCTGACTGCAAGTCCCAGCAGAGTTAGGGTAATAAACTAGGCCAGCTGCAGCAGCCCCTAGGTCTGCCTACAAAAGTTATATTACTGCCCATCCCCTCCTGATACCCACACCAGTGGGGAAGGGCAAGACTTAGAGCAAAAGAGGGATGGGTAAGACATTTTTCCTCCACTAAGGTCGGACCCTTTCCATTGGAACTCAAGTGTCGACGCCAGACAGAAGCTTAACTTTCACCCTGACCCACAGTGCACTTCTCAGGCTCCCAGCCTTCACTTTATATGCTTTGGACTTGAGGGATACTGTCCTGTTCTACTTTTGAATTGCTCACATCTGTTGCTTTGTTCACCTTTCAAGATTCTAGATTCCGTCAGGGTAGAGACTTGTTCTGGAACACTCTTGTACTGCCCAAATGCCAGGAATATTTGGTAAACTGAGTTAGTCTAAAGAATGTGCTATCCTGAGATCTCACTGGTTAGAAAACAGCACATCAGCTGGGAGAGCTACCCCAGATCTTTCTCTTACTAATTTTTTGGAAGTTACAGGAAAATACATGCTCATCAAAAGTGATTTGGAAATATGAAGTGATAGAAAGAGGACCAAAAAAAAAAAAATCCCTCAAGTCCCTCAAAGTTTTCCAATCAAAAGATTTCTTCCTAATGTTAAGACCATGTTCCGGCTGGGTGTGGTGGCTCACACCTGTAATCCCAGCACTTTGGGAGGCCGAGGTGGGTGGCTCATGAGGTCAGGAGTTCAAGACCAGCCTGGCCAAGATGGTGAAACCCCGTCTCTACTAAAAATACAAAAATTAGCCAGGTGTGGTGGCAGGCGCCTATAATCCCAGCTACTCAGGAGCCTGAGGCAGAGAATTGCTTGAACCTGGGAGGTGGAGGTTGCAGTGAGCCAAGATCGCACCACTGCACTCCAGCCTGGCGACAGAGCAAGACTTTGTCTCAAAAAAAAAAAAAAACAAAAGAACCATGTTCCACTTTGCTATATGTTGACAGAGCAGTGAGTATCATGCAGGCTGGTTTGGAGGGAGACCTAACGATCTCCATGTTGATCCTCTAAAGGGCAGTGCTATGGGCCTCTCACAGGCTGGACTTCACTCTCTGGAACTTATTTGTAATATCAGCCTTAGCCACCCCAAGCTTTACGCCTTCTTCTGGTCTCTCTCTTGGACTTTTGCTGTTGTGACTCAGCTGAAATTGCGAGGCTTGCAGAAGCAGACCCACACTCACCTTTGCCACGATTCCCTCTGCATGTGACACAGACCTCTCATCAGCCTGCCCATGGAAAACAGGCCTTCTGTGCCACTGTCTTCCTGGACCTTCCCCAAGTCTCTTGGATCCTTCCAGAAGTTGGGTAACCAGATGTGCAGGCAGTGCCTCAGGACTAGACAAGCCATGGCTTGAATGTAAGGTTCAGAGACCCCTGTGCTGTGCCTGACACAGGGGAGCTATGACTCTGCAGGGGACAAACCCAAAGCCAGTATACTTACACCATTGTCTCTTTTTGGAGGGGATGTATTTAAAACACCCTAAAAGACAACTAGAGAATCTGTTCAAAGAGCTAGAAAATCAGAGTGTTAAGGGGTTGAATTGTATTCCACAAAATTCACGTGCAAGAAGGCAGAGTTTGCCGTGAGCTGTGATCACGCCATTGCACCCCAGCCTGGGCAACAAGAGGGAAACTCCATCTCAAAAAAAAAATAAAAAAAAAAAGGAGACCCACACAGAGACAGACACACTCAGAGGAGAATGTCATGTGAAGACACACACAGAGGGGAGACAGGCTTGTGACAATGGAGGCAGGGATTGGAGTTACACAGCTGCAAGCCAAGAAATGCCAAGGATTGCTAGCAACCGCTAGTAGCTCGGAGAGAGACTATGGCCTCCTGTCAGCACCTTGATTTAGGACTTCTGGCCTCCTGAACTGTGAAAGCATTCATTTCTGTTGTTTGAGCCATCAGTTTGCAGTAATTTGTCAAGACAGCCCTAGCAAACCGACACACAGAGTGAATACAGTGTGTCCCACAGATGGCGGGGTATGGAAGCGAAGTGTGGAACCAAAAGTATATGGCCGTAAACTTTATGACTAGGGTCATCCTATGTCAGAAGTCTATAAAAATTATTCAAGTAAAAACTGTACAGATATTTCATACATTTCCAAAATTTACCTTGAGACACTCTGGTTAAAAAAAAAATAGTAGAGGTGTCTTAATTTTCCCAAATCAGCCAGGCGTGGTGGCTCACGCCTGTATTCCCACAACTTGGGGAGGCCAAGGTGGGTGAATCACCTGAGGTCAGGAGTTTGAGACCAGTCTGGCCAACATGGTGAAATCCCCTCTCTACTAAAAATACACAAAATTAGCCAGGCATGGTGGCATGTGCCTGTAGTCCCAGCTACTCAGGAGGCTAAAGCAGAAGAATCGCTTGAACCCAGGAGGCAGAGGTTGCAATGAACCGAGATCATGCCACTGTACTCCAGCCTGGGCAACAAGAGCAGAAACTCTATCTCAAAAAAAAAAAAAAAAAAATTCTCAAATCGAGATTAGGCAATGACAGATTGACATTAGGGGGCTTTCTCAGGGATGACTGTTTCCTACCTCTCCTTCAGAGTCTAAATGTCTGTAGGCTCACCATCATGTGCCCACCCCAACCCAAAACCCTCAGAAGGAAAATGCCAGTCTCATACTAAAAGTGACCCGGCTGTTCAGCAGAAATAAGTAGCACACAGTTAATAGTTAATCCAGGGCTTATCTCCTGGCAGCTATATATCAGGAAAGGACCACTTAGGAAAATAAAATGGTACTCAGTCTTGCTTTCCAAAGGTGCTACCAAGAGAAACCCTATCTCAGCTTTTCATAGGATTAGTCAGCTCCAATCTAGTGTTTGGGGTAACAATTTGGAGGGGAAAACCTTCAAGTCACTCCATCATATCTGAAGTGACATATAACCATGGGAAGCCAACTGCCCCTCTCAAAGCCAAGCATCATCTGCTGCTTTTGCCCGCTGACAACACTGCTGGTGAGACAAGCCGCTGGTTTGCCAAACCCTGGGACACTCTGTTGTCCTTAACGAAATGGAAAGTAACAAAGCCACATTGGTTTATAAATAATTATTAGGAATGAAACTTTGTTCGACTGTGATGTATCGAGGCATCATGGTGTTTGCCAGCTTTTAAAAATGATCAGGATGTCAGAAAGCTAGCGTGGCAAGGTATGTAGAGGTTGGTCATCTGGCTCCCACTTCCTCCCTCCTGCCTCTTCTCAGAAAGCCAGAGCCCCAAGCTAGAGACATACTGCGCAAATGAAGCAGGTGTCGTGCCAAGTGTGGCCCAGGGCTTCGATAAACTTGTCGCCAGCCTCCACGGGGAAATCGCAGCCATGGCACTTGGTGCTGAACAGATTGATGTAGTCTGAAATGAAAAGCAGAGTGAAGACCCCGCACCCAGTGGGGGCAGCGGGGACCCAAAGCCAAGACAAACCCCAAATCAGTGGGCAGAAGCAGGGGGTGAAATCTAATTGGTTGTTTGTCATCTCACAGATGAAATACTCAGTTACATGACTGATAGTTTTCCATTTTCCAATCATTGCATTGATGTTGTTCAGACCCAGGCTTAGACACCATCTTGTGCTGGTTTGATTTGCAAACACTTTCTGGAATTGTCATCAACCTTCTGCAGGGAGATTGTCTCCTCTGCTTCTGTCACCTCTAATAGACCAAACGGATCAAGCCCCAAAGAGAAAACAATCCACATTTCCAAACATCTATGCTTAGTTTGGAAGAATGTGGGTCCAACGTATTTAAGAGTTATAGAATTTTCTTTGCTTGGCCATTCTTCTGTCATGGGGCATTTGTGTTGACAACAAGTTTTTACTACTATAAACAGTATTTGAACTACTTTATTGGGGCATGTCCTCCTCCTCCTTCCCTACCCCCAACCAAGGAGATAATGCTATTAAATATTATTGATATGATGCTTTGCAATTTACCAAGCATTTTCACATGGATGGTGTTATTTACAAGTATGTCAATGTCAGGGACTACATCTTAGCTTTCTTTGCACTCCCAGCACAATGCCTGACACACAGTCAATATCCAAAACATATATAGGGAATGAATGCATTAACCAATCAATCAGTTCATCAATGAATGAAACTGATCATCACAAAATCCCTCAGAAATTGAACTATTATTATCTTTTTGTTTTGTTTTGTGGATGAGAAAATTGAGACTCAAAGAGGTGAAGGGCCCAGCCAGCATCCCACAGCTGAAGCACAGTGGGTCAGGTTCTGTGCTCCTTCACCAGGGCAGCTGTCCTCTCTAGGCCCAAAGGGGCTACAGTTCTACCACACTGACTGTAGAACATCTCTAGATTATTCTAGAAAAGCTCCATCCCGTTTACAAAGCCTTCATCCCTCCTGAGAAGTGTACGCATTCCTCCATAACTCTTCCACAGTTGGCTTTTTCTTAAGTGATTTCCTGTTCTTCTTGTGGATAGTATGTCCATTCATTGTCTTAGACCACGTCTTACTGAGTGCCAGTGTGCCATGGGGGTTACAAAATTGGACTCTGAATAAAGGAAGAGCTGGGTTCAAATCCCAACTCTATTAAGAAATGTTCAAACCTGGGGCAAGTGGCGTAACTTCTCAAGGCCTCAACCTTCTCATCTATATAATGGGAATAATTATTGTACCGAACTCATGGGGTTTTGAGTGGATTAAATAAGATAATGTAAGTGAAGTATTTGGCACAAACACTCAAAAATGTTGGCTCTTATTTTGAAAGTCTTCATAACTGATGCAAAGAGGGAAAGGAACAATGATTTGAGTGCCATTATGCCTCCTGTTTAATCCTCATGACATCTCTGTGAAGAGATAATATTCCCTATTTATTTATCTATTTATTTTATTTATTTATTTATTTATTTTTTATTTTTATTTTTTTTTGCGACGGAGTCTCACTCTGTCACCAGGATGGAGTGCAGTGGCATGATGTCGGCTCACTGCAACCTCCGCCTCCTGGGTTCAAGCAATTCTCCTGCCTCAGCCTCCCAAGTAGCTGGGAGGGCAGGCACGCGCCACCACACCCAGCTATATTTTTTTATTTTTAGTAGAGATGGGGCTTCACCATGTTGGCCAGGATGGTCTCGATCTCTTGACCCTGTGATCCACCTGCCTCTGCCTCCCAAAGTTCTGGGATTACAGGCGTGAGCCACCGCGCCCAGCCTATTTATTTTTTGAGGTGGACTCTCACTCTGTCACCCAGGTGGAGTGCAGTGGCACAATCTCAGCTCACTGCAACCTCTGCCTCCCAGGGTTCAAGCAGTTCTCCCACCTCAGCCTCCCAAGTAGCTGGGATTGCAGGCATGTGCCACCACGCCTGGCTAATTTTTGTATTTTCAGTAGAGACGGGGTTTCACCATTTTGGCCAGGCTGGTCTTGAACTCCTGACCTCAAGTGATCCACCTGCCTCGGCCTCCCAAAGTGCTGGGATTACAGGCATGAGCCACCGCGCCCAGCCTAGTATTCCAATTTTAAAGGGGAGGAAACTGACTGGAGAGGTTCCATCACAGAAGTCATAAGGAGTAGCCCCAGTCCTGATGGACTCCAATGTTCATCCTCCTTCTATGGCTTTACGCTGTCTCCAGCTCCTTATCAGCATGGCATTGAGCTTTGATCAGTTACACTTATCTCTTGCATGTGTTTTCCAATATATAGCTTCCCCTTTTGTGCTTAATTGTAGCTTGTCATGCAAATGCTCTTATGTATCCCAGTCCATCAATCTTCTCTGATGGAACACTTAATTTCTTTAGTAGGCAGAAATGCATTGCCTTGCCAGAGCTAAGAAAACATCGTTCTGCTTCCTTTAGAAAGTTACCGCCCAGGTTGCAGTTCACTCTGTGCTCTGCAAGAACTTACTACTATCTGGTATGGGCTGACCCGTCTCCACCTGAGGACAAGCCCTGCACCCACTTACGACTTCTTTCTCATCACTCCCAGGTGGTCTCATGGTGCCCTGGACTTTCTCTTACACCTCCATGCCTCTGTGCAAACCAGGCCCTGGGCTTGAAAAACCATCCCCACTTTCTGTACCTGAGAGAATCTCTGCAATCCTTTGTGCTAGGCTGTCCTTCAGGGAAGTCTTCATGCCCTACATACCCCAACCAAGAGTGATGAGATGGCCTTGCTGAAGGCTTTCCCTGGCCTTCCCTCCTCCATTTATCCATGCATCCTATCCATTCATCCATCATCTCCTTTTTTTTTTTTTTTTTTTTTTTTTTAGATTGAGTCTTGCTCTGTCACACAGGATGGAGTGCAATGATGTGGTCACAGTTCACTGCAACCTCAACTTCCTGGGCTCAAACCATCCTCCCACCTCAGGCTCCTGAGCAGCTGGGACCACAGGTGTGCACCACCACGGTCGGCTACTTTAATTTTTTTTTGTTTTAGAGATGGGGTCTCCCTATATTGTCCAAGCTGTTCTTGAACTCCTGGGCTCAAGGGGTCCTCCTGCCTTGGCCTCCTAAAGTACTATGATTACAGGCGTGAGCCACCAAGCTGGGCTGTGTTCCATATTTAAATAAATATAAAAATTAAATTAAATGGTTCAAACAACCTAATTAAATAGTGATTCCTTCTCTTACTGGCTTTTCACAGATTAAGCTATTAAAGTGGCTTGAATTGGCCAGGTGCGGTGGCTCACGCCTGTAATCCCAGCACTTTGGGAGGTCGAGGCAGGTAGATCACGAGGTCAGGAGTTCAAGACCAGCCTGGCCAAGATGGTGAAATCCCCCATCTCTACTAATAATATAAAAATTAGCCAGGCGTGTTGGTGGGAGCCTGTAATCCCAGCTACTTGGGAGGCTGAGACAGAGAATTGCTTGAACCCAGAAGGCGGAGGTTGCAGTGAGTCAAGATAGCATGCCACTGTACTCCAGCCTGGGTGACAGAGCAAGACTCTGTCTCAAAAAAAAAAAAAAAAAAAAAAAAGGCCAGGCACGGTGGCTCACGCCTGTAATCCCAGCACTTTGGGAGGCCAAGGTGGGCGGATCACGAGATCAGGAGATCGAGACCATCCTGGCTAACATGGTGAAACCCTGTCTCTACCAAAAATACAAAAAATTAGCTGGGTGCAGTGGTGGGAGCCTGTAGTCCCAGCTACTTGGGAGGCTGAGGCAGGAGAATTGCATGAACCCCAGAGGCGGAGCTTGCAGTGAGCCAAGATCGCGCCACTGCACTCCAGCCTGGGCAACAGAGCGAGACTCCGTCTCAAAAACAAAACAAAACAAAACAAAGGCTTGAATTTACCTCTGGAATGCCTTGTCTTGCCCACTGATTCATTTTTCTGTTTTAAATTTGATTCCATATGATTTGGAGAATTATCGCTTTGTTTTAAAATTTGGTAGCATGGGTCTGATACTAACACATTTTTGTTTAAGTTGGTATTTTTCTTCACAACTTCTGCAAAAGTTATTTCTGCAAAAGGAGAACATTGCTGGTACCGAACAAAGTCTGTGCATGGGCCTTTTCCACAAGGAGTATAATCTAGCTCCTCATATATTTATTCCTTCCTTTATTTCTCCCTTTAAGTCTTTCTAATTTTCTTTGACTCTCTCTTGTCCCAAGCTGAATTACTACCCTCACATTTAATGGATTTTATTGCTATTGTAAAAGGATTTCTGTCCATCAAATTGCAGGTGCTCTGTGTTGAAAAGGGGCTTGGTACTTTTCTAGAGCAATGGTTCCCAAACATCAGAAGCACATGGAGGGTTTGTTGAAACACAGCGTGCCAGGCTCCCCTCCAGAGTTTCTGATTCACCAGATCTGGGGTGGGGCCTGAAGATCTGCATTTCTAACAAGTTCTCAGGTGATGTTGCTGCTGGTGTTGGGACCACACTTTGAGAAACACTTCTGATTCCCACACCTAACTGAAACACCTGGGTAGGGTGGGGCACCCTACGAAATGCTGCTTCTGTGGGTCTGAGGTAGGTCTGAAACAATCTATTTTCTCTCTAGTTTGTTAAGTTCCCTAGGTGACCATGATGCCAGGTTTGGGAACTGCTCGGGTGCAGGTTCATCTGTGAAGGGCTGACCCACCTATCTCTCTTCTTTATATGCAGATGTCAGCTTATCTTTGCAGCCAGCTGAAGCATTTTTCAGCCTAGACCCTATCATTCTGGCTCAATCTGCAGATTTGACAGGACTCCCTTCTGTGTCTTCTTCCAAATTGTTGATTAAAATGACGAGACGTAAAAATGAAGTTTCACCTCATACCCGTTAGGATAGCTACTATTTTTTAAAAAACAGAAAATAACAAGTGTTTGCAAGGCTGCGGAGAAATTGGAACCTTTATTCTCTGTTAATGGGTTTGTAACACAGTGCAGCCGTTATGGAAAACAGTATGAGGTTCCTTACAAAATCAAAAATAGAACAGAATCAAAAATAGGCACGGTGGCTCATGCCTGTAATCCCAGCACTTCAGGAGGCCAAGGCAGGAGGATTGCTTGAGCCCTGGATTTCAAGACCAGCCTGGGCAACATAGCAAGACCTCATCTCTACAAAAAATGATGAAAATTAGCTAGGCATGGTAGCGGATGTCTAAAGTTCCATCTACAGGCTGAGGTGGGAGGATCAACTGGGTCTCTCCAGTTACCTAGGTCTGAAGGTAAATCTGCTTCCTCACTGTCTTCTCTTAACACTAGACCGTCTTCTTCCTGGATCTTCTTACTCAAAACATCATTTTTGAGAATCTTTTCGGGGGAGTTGCTATGATGAGGGGCAGCAGTGATAATGGAAATCTATCATTCTTTCAAAAGCCTCAGACACAAATTGCGGCTTATCTCAAATAATAGAAGTTATAATGCTTTTAGTAGAAGAATAACAGCAAGTTGTATAAGCATAACAGCTCTTTCTTTAACTACCGATCAATATCATATGCTCATGAGAAAGGAAAGGTCTGGTATTATCTTCTCCCTTTTACAGATATAGAAACTGAGGCACAGAGTAAGTGACTTGTTTCAGGTCATTCAGTTAACTTCAGAGCTGGGAAGGGCATTCACTAGTACAAGAACCCAAGACGTTTCTTTTCTTTCTTTCTTTTTTTTTTCAGATGGAGTCTTACTGTGTTGCCCAGGCTGGAGTGCAACGGCAGTATCTCAGCTCACTGCAACCTCTGCCTCCCGGGTTCAAGCGATTCTTCAACCTCAGCCTCCCGAGTAGCTGGGATTACAGACGCCCGCCATCATGCTCGGCTAATTTTCGTATTTTTGTAGAGATGGGGTTTCACCATTTTGGCCAGGCTGGTCTTGAACTCCTGACCTCAGGTGATTCGCCTGCCTTGGCCTCTCAAAGTGCTGGGATTACAGGCGTGAGCCACCGCGCCCAGCCAAAACGTTTATTTTCTAATTTACAGTCAGGGGAAAGAAGTTTTATTTTGTTTTGCTTTTTCCCTTGAGGAACTGAATGTTTTCTCCTTTCTGATTTTAAAGTAAACTAACTTACTGTGTTTCTCTTTTTGCCCTCAAATTTGCTACCCAGTTAGTCCCTGCAGCTCTGTTATTCTTCATAATCAGCATGCCTGCTTTTCCCGCCTCTGATTTTCTGGTTCTACTGTCTTAGCCTTCATGTCTGTGTTACCTTTTCTGGAACCTGCTTCAAATCCTTTCTGAAGGGGGAAGCCTCTGAATAAATGAGTGACTGACTTCCACCTATCTAATGAAGTGCTTTGTCTCTTGAATTTACAATAATTTACTTAGCATTTTAAGATAACATATAGCATTTTGGGGGTACAGAGAAACTCTGAATTCACTCCGTGAGATTACAGGAATCTGCAGGAACATCAAAGTCTGATAAATATCACAGGGGCAGAGGAAGGGGTCTCGCATATTTGATGCTCTACACGCCTTCTCTGGTTTAATCCTCACCACAGCTCTGTAAGGCAGGTGTTTACAGACGAGGAAAGTAAGGCTCAGAGAAGGTTAGTAACTTGCTCAGGTTTACAAAGCAGCCCAAAGTGGAACCAGGAATAGAATGAAGGACAAAGTCCACAGCCAAGGCCTTTTCAGACTAGACCTTGTGGTCTCCAAATCAAAATAACCTGAAAGGTTTCCCAGTGGTCATAAGATGCCAACTTGTGATCTACATTTTTTTTTTTTTTTGAGATACAGGATCTTACTCTGTTGCCTAGGCTGAATACAGTGGTGCTATCACAGGTTACTGCAGCCTCGAACTCCTGGACTCAAGCGACCCTCCCACTTCAGCCTCCTGCGTAGCTGAGACTACAGGCACGCGCCACCACACCTGGCTAATGTTTATATTTTTTGTAGAGACTGGGTCTTGCTATGTTGCTGGTGTCAAACTCCTGGGCTCAAGCAATTCTTCTGTCTCGGCCTCCCAAAGTGCTGGGATTAAGGTGTGAGCCACCTCACCTAACCAGATCCACATATTTGATGCATAAAATAAGCTATAGACTCTGCACCTCACTCTCCCCAAAGCTGCAACCATATGGGCAGGGGAGATAGTTAACTTCCTTTGTGTGATATTAGCATGATTCTGCCATTAAAAGCAAAAACAAAGGTTTCTTCCAGAAATAAAGGCCTCTGGGTGGTCGGATGTGAATGGATTAGGCAGGAGTTAGTTCCCTGTGCCTGCCCCTTTCTCCCAGGCTGTGGGGCCTCCCCACATGCCATCGAAGTGTTCCTACCTTTCTCGCAGTAGGGCTCCCCGTCTTCCATGTGGAAGAGGCTGTTCCCAAAAGGCTTCTTGCAGGCCGCACAGACGAAGCAGGTGGTGTGCCATGTCTGTCTCAAGGCATGCATTACTTCCTGGGGGAAAGAGCCTAAGCTCAGGACAGAAAGGAGAGAGGGAGCGGGCTTGACTACCCCACCAGGCTCCAGCCACTGCCCGAGCATCCTACCAGGGAACAGGGCAGGAGATCTCAGGATGCAGGCCTTGGTCACTCTGAAGAAAGACCCAGGGGTGTCAGAGAAGGGGTTGTCACTCTCCAGCTGGGTGCCAGGTTCTGTGCTTTCTTACATAAACTGTGAGGCTTAATCCTCCCATTAAACCTGGGAGGAGGTACTGCTTATTACTGTCATTTACCAAAGGGGCATTGAGGGTTAAGGCCACATTCTGGTGAGTGGTAAGGTCAGGCTGTGAAGCAACCACTTGCTTTGCAGAAGTTCCACCACCACTTCAAGCTGTGTGGAACAGGCACACAATCATCTCTTGCATCAAGTTCATTTATCCCCAAGTTTATTGGTGGCAAACCAATTCCCTTTTAGGATAAAAATGGAGTTGCTTTCTCTGTTACCAGCAACTTCTTGGCTTCCTAATGGGATCCCACGATCTTGGGGAAGGGCTGGGGAAGAGACATGGGTCAGAGGAAATGGAGGCCTCCCACTTACCCCCATAATTTTGGTGTTGCACTTGGCACACAGCGGGGCAAAGAATTGCTCATAACATCGCTCACAGTAAACGTTGTTCTGCTCTTCCACAAAGCACACATCTGCCAGGGAAGTCTTGCAGTAGGCACAGGTGAACTCTTCAGGGTGCCAAGAACGGCCCATGGCTACCAGAAATGGGCCCCTGGGGAAGCACAGAATGGCACCCAGTAAGGCAGCTCCCAGAACTTGGAATTAGATATTTGAAGAACCCCAACACTGTTTATACTTTTACCCAATAACTCTGACTTTTGTGACTGTTCTGATGAAGTAATGTGAAATTCAGAGAAAGCTCCATGCAGAAAGGTGTTCATTGTTGCATCACTTACAATAAAGAAAATCAGGAAGCAACTCAAACATCTACCAATAGGGGACTGGGTAAACATATTATAGAATTCAGTTGACCACTGATAATGATAGTAAGAAATGCAATAATGATGATGCTGATGGCTAACATTTATTAAGTGATTACTCTGTGTCAGGCTCTATTCAAGAAGACTTTTGCATTTATTAACTTGCTTAATTCTCACAACAATCCTACGCACTAGGTACTATTATAATACCCATTTTTAGATAGGGGAATTGAGGCACACAGAGTTTGAACAACTTGTTTAAGGCCATAGGGCTAGTAAGTGGTAGACCAGGATACAAACTTGTATTGTCTAGTTCCAGGTTAGCAGTCAGAACAGTGGGACTATGAAGACATTTTTTTATATTCTAATTTTTACTTTTCTGTGTTTTCCAATTCTTCACTAATGAGTATGTATTACTTTAGTTTTAAATAAAAGTGTATTTTTCACGTATATAAGCTCACACCACACATGCACACAAACATACTGTATTCAAACAACAGCACCCATGGTCCATGGCTTCTAAGTATGAAATCACTTGTTTTCATTTTAGTCTGGCAGATGCCCACCAACCCCCTGAGCAGCCCAGGCCTGTCTGTGGAAAGACCCAGAAACAACCCTAAAGGAAAACTGGGTCAAAACCAACACTGTCTAACAAAATGCCCTGTAAACCTACTGACAAGCCTGGTGATTCCCAGACCTCAACCTTAGCCCAAGGGGGAGTTCCTGGCACCAGGCATCCTGCTGGAGCTTCACCCACATACCTCATGCCATTCCTCCCAGCTCCCTGGGAGAGTGGGTGTCACACAGGTATGGCAGCTAAGGCTCAGAGAGGTAAGACCAGATGGCAAGCCAGAAGGACCCGAGGCTTTCTCCCTACACCTGCCTCCTACCCCCATCTCTCCCAACCAGGGCTCAGACTGTGGGCAAGCACCCCACACACACGCCCTTCCAGTGCCCCAGTGCAGGGGCACAGCTGGACCATACCGGATGACATTGTTGCAGTGACCGCAGAGTGGAGTCCGGCTGCTGGCTGGGAATCGCTCAGCCCTCTGGACGGTCCCCCTGGCAAGTGGTGGCACCTGAGGACCCGCTGGGGTGTAGGCTGGGCCTCCCCGGGGCAGGGTCTGCTTGCTGATGGAGGTGGTGCTCTTGCCCGGGGCAAACTTCTGGGAGAAGCTATCATCTGTCACCCAGGGTGGACGGCTGGCAGGCTCCGCAGGGCCCCCGCTGTAGGCCACCGAGGGTGCAGGGTTATAGTTGGGGGCAGGTGAGGGGGTATAGGCTGGTGCTGGGGATGGAGTGTAGGTGGGGACAGGTGAGGGGGTGTAGGCAGGGGCAGGGGAGGGGGTGTAGGCAGGGGCAGGGGAGGGGGTGTAGGGAGTGGGACTGTAATTGGCCCCTGGGGACGGGCTGTAGGTAGATGCAGGCACTGCAAAAGCCAAAAAAAACCCAAAGAAAGGTGTGTCAGGAATTCATTCTTCCCAGTTCCCCTCACTCCTAGCCAGAGAAATGCAAAAGGTGACTTTAACATTAGAGCAGTACAATTTCAGTTTTTTTGGGAGACTTGTTCCTGAACTTCTTGATGGCCCAGATTTGAATTCTCAGCAGGGTGTTCACAGAGCTAGGGAGCAAGCACAGCAGAACCCTCGACAGGGCTGGAAAAGGGACATGGCTATAAATATTTGCAGCTGTGCAGGGTGGGGCTCCGCCAGGCCTTGACTGCCCAAGGCCTGCATAAGACGCAGAGTGGGGGTGGGGGTACCTGGGCGGGGAGAGGTGGGAGTGGGTCACCTCGCCTTTGACTGCAAGATGCTTTCAGTTGCACTCTGACCAGTGATTTGACATCTGAAATACCTCCCTTGGCATAAGTTTGCTGAACCTGGACCTAGGTCAGCCCTCAGGACAAAACAGGTGACCTGGTAGCTGGGTTTTCAGGTTCAGGTTTCAGGTTTAGCTACAATTACTTTCTTGAAAAACAGCTTGGCTTGATTTGTATTGGGGGGCAATTCCGTCTTGGTTTGATTAGGGTGGGGGATCTTGAAGGAGTCATTCAGAGGGTGCTGGGCAGAGACTCTAGGGTGACACAGCCTAGAAGTAGCTGCTCACTTGGCCCGTGGCTGCCTTGGGGGACCCCTGTACTCCCACATCGCTTTGGTGGAAGCTGAGAGTGTGTCTGAGTGACTGTCTAAAGATTGCCCAGGCAGTCAGAGCACAGGGAAGAGAATGCACCACCTCACTTCTATCACCCCCTCCTCCAGCTCCCTGAGAGCAGAAAAACGTTTTGGGCTCACAGCACAGAAAAAGCATTGCCACTGCTTACCCACAGCCCTCTCCCGCCTGGGCCCTCAACACCTAGCCAGGGCAGACCCAGCTGCACCCTGCAGGCAAGGTCCAGCTGGCTTCCTCTTCCAGTGAGTGAGGTTCCAGAAGCCTCACCACATTTCAGTCTGCTCCTCAGCAAAGAGGCCTCATTCCCCCAACCCTAGGAAGCATGTCAGCACAGCCTCCCTCCCCATTCCTGAGCTCAGTATGGGCAGGATGGACTGCATTGAGGCAGTCCCTGCACCCACACCCCGCCTCTGCCCCCCACCCCATACTCCAGCCTCAACCTGGAGAGGAAGGTTTTCCTTAGGGCCTAAGACCCTGGCCCCATCTCCAGTCTCTCTTTCCCACCTGGTTCCCCTGGACCGCCTGGGGCAGCCTGTGGCTCCCACTCTGCACCTTCCACTCCCAGGTGACCCACCCTTCAGAGCTGGGTGAGCTGGAAATCCCTGTGCTGGGGGTGAGTAGGGACCAGGTAGATAGGATCCATCCATGTTGTTGAAGGAAGAAGAGATAAAACCCTCCACAGCCCTGCCCTGGAGCCATCCTGCCAGTGAGGCCTTCAAAAGATAATACCGGTTGGGCATGGTGGCTCACGCCTGTAATCCCAGCACTTTGGGAGGCTGAGGTGGGCAGATCATGAGGTCAGGAGATCGAGACCATCCTGGCTAATGTGGTGAAACCCCATCTCTACTAAAAAAATACAAAAAATTAGCTGGGTGTGGTGGCGGGTGCCTGTAGTCCCAGCTACTCAGGAGGCTGAGGCAGGAGAATGGCGTGAACCCAGGAGGCGGAGCTTGCAGTGACCCGAGATCGTACCACTGCACTCCAGCCTGGGCAACAGAGCAAGACTCCATCTCAAAAAAAAAAAAAAAAAAAAGATAATACCTTCTCCATAAGGAATCTTCCTCCCCTTTAGGGGTAACGAGGCACATAGCATCTGTCATCTGAATCGGTCTTCACATTATTCCCTCTTTACACTTGAGGTCACTGAGGCTCAGACAGAGCTAGTAAGTGGGAATACATCTCCAAATCCATTCATTCTATCATCCCAAGCTGCCTCTGTAAAGAATATGAGTCCAATTTCTAGAAAATCTCAGTGCAACATGTCAGGGAGGAGTCATTTTCAACATGAAGGAGACCCCCTGCTGTGGAGTCTTGATAGCATAGCCAAGAGCCCTGGCTGCAGGATCCAGCTCTACTACCTCCTGGTTTTGTGTCCTTGGGCAAGTTCCTTAACCTCTCTGGGCCTCAATTTCTTCATCTAAAACTGGCAATACTGATTCTTAGTATCTCACAAGGTTATTATGAGGATTAAGGGAAGGTAAGAAATATAAAGAGCGTAGCCTAGTACCTGGCATAGTGTGTCACTAAATGTGAGTGAGGATGGCAAGGATGGGGGCAACCTGGGTGTCAGGGTCAGATGTACTGTCAGCCTGTCTCATGGCCTGCTGCTCACCTAGGGAAGCCCAGCCCAGTTAGACTGGTAGCGCCTAGGGTTGGGGGAGAGGAGGGAAGGGAAATGGAACATCCTGAAGTCAGATAACCTGAGACTGAGGTCTATTCAGTGGTGGTGGAATGCCTGACACCCTGCCTGCCCCACAGGGCATGCTGGGGACCTGCTGGGGTGACATAGTGAATGGATTTTGTAAATGTGTACAGCCCAAATTTGAGGTATTGTCACCCTCCCTAACAACTTTGCAGAGAATATCAAAATGCTGGGGGAAGAAGTGATTCCAGGAACACCACCAGGGACAGAGAGCAGGGAGAGGTGATCTAGCACAACTTCAGAGCAGCTTCATCCCTCTGTTATATATAAGGGGGTTCTGTGCAACATTTTCTTTCCTTTCTTTGTGAAGTGCAATTCTCTGCTAAAAAAGATTAAGATTGGCTGGGCGCGGTGGCTCACGCCTGTAATCCCAGCACTTTGGAAGACTGAGGCCGGTGGATCACTTGAGGTTAGGAGTTCGAGATCAGCCTGGCCAACATGGTGAAACCCCGTCTCTACTAAAACTTCTAGTAGCCGGGCATGGTGGTGGGCGCCTTGTAAACCCAGCTACTCGGGAGGCTAAGGCAGGAGAATCTCTTGAACCCGGGAGGTGGAGGTTGCAGTGAGTCGAAGTCGTGCCATTGTACTCCAGCCTGGGCAACAAAAGAGAAACTCCATCTCAAAAAATAAAAAGATTAAGACCAGAAGCCCTAATCCTGCGGTGTCCAATACATAGTGCTACGTGGCCGATGAGCAGCTGAAATGTGGCTAGTCCGACCAAGAAGTGCCGTTAGTGTAAAACACACACCAGATTTTGAAGGCACATTAATAATTATTTTATATTGATTATATGTTGAAATTATATATATATATATATATTTTTGAGACGGAGCCTTGCTCTGTCGCCCAAGTTGGAGTGCAGTGGCGCAATCTCGGCTTCACAGCCACCTCTGCCTCCTGGGTTCAAGTGATTCTCCTGCCATAGCCTCCCGAGTAGCTGGGACTACAGGCGCCCGCCACCACGCCCGGCTAATTTTTTGTACTTTTTTAGTAGAGACGGGGTTTCACCGTGTTACCCTGGTGGTCTCGATCTTCTGACCTTATGATCCGCCCGCCTCGGCCTCCCAAAGTGCTGGGATTACTGGCGTGAGCCACTGCGTCCGGCCTGATATCTTAAATATATGTAGTCAAAGAAAATATATTAAAATGAATTTAACTTGCTTTCTTTTATTTTTTAAAAATGTGGCTAATAGGAAATTTCTATTGCGTGGTGCTGCCTTCACCAAAATGACTGCTTCCACATGCCAGGCCCTTTACGTGCCTTATTACTCGCTGCAATCCAAGGAGGCAGATAATATTTGCAAGTCCATTTTACAGATGAGGAACTGAGACTTGGAGAGCTTAAATGGCTGCCTCCAAGTCATCCAGCTGGTGAACTGCTTAGCCGAAACGAGCTCAGGCTGCCAGACTCAACAGCAGATGCCCGCTTAGAAACTCCCCAAGCAGCAAAACAGGCTTTAGTACGCCCCCTTTCAAGTAAACAGGGCCCTGGCCCACCTTTCCTGCCTCCCTCCAGCAATACTAACCCTATTCCCCCTGCCTGGCAGTCGCTTCCCTCCATCGGAAGGCCTTACAGACTCCCGGATCCACCTCCTTTTCTTTTCCAGCCCCCACAACACAGAGGTCTCACAGAGGCAGGCTAGAATCTGGACCCCGATTTGACGGCTTCCTTGCTTGGGGCTAACCCACCCAGAGAAGGAACCTCCCCGGCCTCGGTGGCCCGGCCCGGCAGCTCCGTTCCCCCGTCGCAACCCCGACTCCGTCGGGGGGCGAGCAGGCAGTGGCGCTTCGCAGCCCTCAGCTTCTGCATCCTTCAGCCTGGCTCGCCGTCACGCCAGGAGAGACCTGATATCCCATCTCGCAGCCCCGGGGCTGTTGCTATTTTTGCGTGACGGAATTAAGCCAGTCTAAATTAGAAGGTGATATTTCATCTCTAATTGGCAAGTTCAAAAGTCCCCTATCGCACTCGGCGGGCTCGGGGATATGTAATTAAACAAGGTGATTTCTGACTCACGCCGGGCCGGGCCCGGCTCTCCGCAAGCGCCTGGCCGCCGCCCGGCCCGCGGGCCAACGTGACCGTCCCCGGCCCGCGCGCAGGGTCTCCGCGCCGCCGCCGCCCGCCCCCTCCCGGGCCTCAGGTGTTCCGGGGAGCGGCCGCCCACCTCGGGCGCCAGCGATAAGATCCGGCCTGCGAACGCCGCCCTCGGCCCGGAGGAGGCCCCGGGGGGAGCTGCGGCTGCGGCCGCGGCGCTCCGGGTCCCGCGCGGGCTCCCCGCCCTCTCTGACGCCCGGATCCGAAGAGCCTGGAGGGAAGGGGAGCGGAGGGGGGCTCGGGACCACACGCCCCACTTCATACGGGGCCGCCTGCCAGCCGCCCCCGGACTCCGCTTGGCAGCCGGGCCTCCCGGAGAGGGAGGTGGAGGCAGGCCGACTCCAGCGCGCGCCCGCCCGGCCGCCTCTTTCCCCCTAGGCAGGAATGAGTTAATGTCTGCGCGGCCTGGGAACGGCGCGGGGGCCCGCGGCTCCGGCCCGTCTCGCTCGCCTGGGCCCCAGCCCGGGAAGGAGGAGGAAGGAGACGCAGGGCGGGCTGGCCGCGCGCCCCCGGAGCCCTGACGCCGCCTGGCGGGCTGGGCGAAGACAGCCGGAGGCCGCCCCGGAAGGTGCCAGAAGCGCCTCCCCAGGAAGAGACGGAAATGTCCTCCTTGTGCCCCGGCAAGGCCTCGCCTCCACCCGCCGCTTCTCCTCCAACTCCTCTCCAGCCTCCCCTCCCTGTGTTCCCAGTCTCTGCAGGGGCAGCCTCTTCCCACTGCTCCATCTAAGGCTTTTCACTACTGCAAAATGCCACCTCGCCCTGCGGAGTTTTCACCTCAGAACCGTCTATCCTTGCCCCTTCTCTGTAGGGACAGAGAAGGGCACCTCCCGTGTGACAGACGCTGTGCTGGGTGCTTCATTCCATCCCCAGAACACAAGGTGTCCATGAACAGCGCAGCCTGGATGGATGAGGCACTTTGCCTTCGAGAGCAGAGCAGGCCGTGGCACCGGCCTCTGTCTCGGGCAAAAGCCGCTTCGACCGCCCACACTCAGCCCTGCTGTCAGAGCGAGCTTCATGAACCAGCGCCCCGAAGCAAGGCCTGCCCTGACTCAGTGCCTGTCTCATCTCCCTGGGCTCCAGCGGCAGAGAAAACTTCCCTGGGGTTTCTCCCTGCGCCTGGATAGGACCTGCTCCCGAGTCTAGGCTCCTTATGTGCTGTTCTGTACCCCCATGGCTGCGGCCAAATCTCGCACACTGGCATGACACAGAGAAGATGGAGTCTCATTCTGTCGCCCAGGCTGGAGTGCAATGGTGCAGTCTCGGCTCACTGCAACCTCGGCCTCCCGGCGATTCTCCTGCCTCAGCCTCCCGAGTAGCTGGGATTACAGGTGGGTGCCACCACGCCCGGCTAATTTTTGAATCTTTAGTAGAGATGGGGTTTCGCCATGTTGGCCCCGGCGGTCTCAAACTCCCGACCTCAGGCGATCCTCCTGCCCCAGCCTCCCAAAGTGCTGGGATTCCAAGTGTGAGCCACCATGCCCGGTCCGGAGAAGACTTCTCTGCTCTCCTTCGCTCTCCCTTAGAATCATCCACCGCTTTCTTGCTCACCTGTCTCCCCCAGACCAGATGCAGGCTCCATAGGATTCTGACCCACAGCTAGGGGACGGAGGGCGGAGCATCATTAGCAAGGCCTTGCTTCCCATTCTTCTGGGGATGTGCCCCCAGAGCCACTTCTTGGCTCTTGTGGCTCCTGGAGCCCGCCCATGGCTTTCGACAGCCTCCCCTCCTGCTCTGCCTCTTACCTGGCTGGTAGACAGAAGGCCGGATGCTGGCAGTGGTGACAACCCGGGGCTTGGGTGCAGGGGCGGCGGGGCCCTCACTGTAGCTGGTGTGGGTGGCAGGTGCTGAAGAGGCGGCCACTGCGGGGCTGTAGGAAGAGGCCTGGGGCCTGGAACCAAGCGGGGAGGGGTTACACCCAGAAGGACAGCCCCCACTGGGGCCTGCAGTCAAGGCAGGCTGGCTCCCAGGTCTTCAGAAGCCTCTGTGAGGACACCTGACAGAGACATTTCTGGGGAACTGCCAGAAACTGTGAAGGAAGGACCATGAGGGTCTTGGAGGGGAGGAGGATGTTCCTTGGGTGGCTAGTGCCACCGCCTTTGGAGAGAGGGAGAAAAGCCACCAGGAGGACACCGGGAAGACCCTTCACTCTCATGGGGAGAGACTGTCCAGGTGGGACTGTGGAAGAGCGCATAGGTAGGGGAGAGGAGAGAGATGGCGCTGGTCAGAACTACCTACCCCCACGACCTTGTGGGGCACCTCAGCCCCTGACCACCTGGCCTCTTCTGCCTACCCTTTTCTATTGTTGCTGGAAGGAACAGCAAAGTCTCAGGTTTCTGGGCACAGATGCTCCAGTGAGAGCTCAGGGGAAGTCAGGAGACTGCCCCCGCCTGCTGCCCAAGGCACCCCCCTCTCCCCCAACACACACCTCTTCTGCATAGAGTTCCTGTTGCCCTCCTCCAACTGGGTTAGTTTTCAAGGGGCCTAGGGTCACCTTTCCCCATGTGTGGCCCAGGGACAATGGGGTCAAAGAGATTTTAAAAAAAGCGTCCTAGTTCATTACCCTCAGGAGAGTCTGTGCGTCGTGGCCTCTCCTCCCAGAGAGCTGAAGGCTCTGAGAACTCCTGGAATCCAGCGGCCTGTTGAGCCTTGTCTGATCAGTGTTCCCCAATTGTATTTGTTTGTAAAATGCTTTTCTTCATTTAAAACTAATGAACACCTTGCAGAACACATCCCTGGTCTTTCAGATCTCAAAGGGGACCACATGCCCACACCCAGGGCAAATGGGTTATTGCTAGAGGTGCTGGAGAAGTGAGCCCTGCCTGCCACCCCCACATGGCTTTCTGCCTTCCTTCTGTCTGTTCCTCAAGGACCTGGGGCCTGCCGATCCCTGCTGGGCAGAGCTGTAGGATGAGGAGTGCCTTCCTCTCTGGGGCTCTGAGAAGGGACTGGCCCTGGCATGAGAACCCACCACCAAGCTTCTGAGTGGATCCAGAGAGGTCTGAGGGGCTGTCCCAGACAAGGCGGAGATAAAATGAGCCTCAGGGAGCTGGCATCCCAGACCAGGGGGCTGTGCACACTTGCCCTGTCAAGCTGCCGAGTTTCTGGCTGAGTGAAGCTATTGTCTCCCCTCCCCAGGCCCACCTGCCCTTCTCTGGATAGATTCCTGTGCTAAGACCAGCAGAGTAGGGGTCTCCATGGAAGAGGAAGAGACAGTGTCCAAGGGGTGCCAGGCTTCCATAGTGATGGGGGCGGGCCAAGGTGCAGTGGTCTTAGCTGGACTCCATCATTGGAGGACACTTTGCCCACAGCCCAGGAGCTACAGGTCCTGAGTCAGGGACTGGCACTGGGAAAGGGAGCAGAGGCTTATGGCATCCATTGAAAATTCTGAAGCCATGCTCCCATGAAAGGCTGGGGAGTCCATTTGCCTCCCATGGGCTCCCCCACCTCCCGCTCCACCCCAGCCCATGTGTGAGGAGCGGAGGTAGCTTTGCTCAGAGTGCAAACCCGTGACCCCTTCTGCTCCAGCCCCACTCCCCGCTGGGCAGCCAGCCCTCTGTGCCCCTCTCCAAGCTCCACCCAGGTCCCAGCTCTCCTGGCAAGGCAAAGGGAAGGAAGGGAGGACTCCCCCTGTGGGGGGCATCCCAAGGGTTCCAGGAGCTCAGCCGTGGGCAGGCCCAGGACACTGAGACCTAAGCCTGGTGCTGGTGCCTGCCTTTGAGCAGGGTTGGGGCCCCAGGGATGAGGCTAGACTGCCTGCAGGGCTCCAGCATTTATAGCCCCTCACCATTCATATTGGGAGGCTTCTTCCCACTCAAAAACAGAGGCATTTCTTGCCCTCCTCAAAGTTTCATCTTTCTGCAGGTAGCAAGGCCTTTATATGAAGAGATTCTGGTATAAAGAGGGGAAGCAGTGTCCTAAATCCCCCCAGGAAACTGGGATGAAACCATCCCTGGAGGGCCAGGCTCCTCCTTCAGGCTTGAGTTGGGCTGGGGAAAGGTTGGGCTTGGCACCATGTGGTTAATGTGAAGCCCGGGATGGGGGCAGCAGACAGGCCTGCAAGCCGGTTTGCTCACATCAATCCCACCTCAGGCTGCACCATGGACCTACCCATCCTGATCCAAGAGGCATGTCCTCCCCAGCAAACCGTGGGGGCCAGGGTGGGAGGCCTGGGACACCTGGGCTCTGACCCCAAACACTAACTGGCCTACTCTTGGAAGCCCAGACAGAGAGCTGGCCCCATCCAGCCTGATGCGCCACATGGCCACTGCAGAGTGACCTGTCAGCCTGGCCTCTCTGCCTTCGCTCTTCTCCCCTGGCCTTTGGTCTCTGCTTGCTGGGTGTCTAGGAGGGCAGATGCAGGAACTCACAATACTTGTGTCCTTCATATGTATTAGGTGTTTTACAGACATTTTTTCTATCATAATTCTATATAATAAGTGTTAGGTAAACATCTTAACAGATGAGGAAACTGAGGTTCAGAGAGCTTCAGTCACTTTTTCAAGGTTACACACAGTAAGCTGTGGAGCAGATATAAATCCCACTATACCAGGTGCCTCTGGCGTTAACATGGCTGAACTCTCTGAGGAAATCTGACCTGCCTTCCCTGCCCAGCTCCAATGCTGCCTCCTCCATGGAGCCTTCCTTGATTTCTCCAGCCCACAGGGACAACTTTCATTCTATCTAATTTGAGTTCCAGGAACAAAGACTTTTTCCACAGTCCCCTTTTGTTATCTAACTTTGTGTGTATGAGTGTGTGTATGTGTCTGTGAGAAAGAGAGAGAGACTGTTACCTCTCTCACTGGTATATGTGTCAGAGAGAGACACTGTTACCTCTCTCACCGGTGTATGTGTCCCTGGGGGGCAGAGTGACAGTCCCCGCCACAGTGGTGCACACCCCTGTAATTCACCCTCAGTTTCCCCTTCACACTCTGCACCAAGCAGCGCTGGCCTTGGCTTCCTCTAGGCCTGCGGGCCCTAACTACCTTGGACACAGCTGGCCACAGGTAGACCCAGAGTGGGGCGTTTCCTGCCTCCCTTCCCCAGGGTCAGGCCCAGCACCTGTGGCCCAGTTACCTTGGGCTGTCGGCAGGACTTGAAGCAGGGGCTGTGGTGGAGGCGGAGGCGATGGCAGTGTGGGCAGCAGCTGTGGCCAGGGGTGGCGAAGCCGCACTGGGAGAGGCAGCAGCAGGTGGCTGGGCAGAAGCGGGCAGCAGCGGGGTGGTGGCCTGGCTGGTGCACACCGGCGCATGCTCAATAGGGGTGCTGATGAGGCGGGACCAAAAAGACAACAGGTCAAGGGAGCCTAGAGACCCTGTGAGGCCCCTCTGCATGGGGGCAGGTGGCTGCAGCAGAGGCAGGCTGGGCAGAAAGCTCCACCTGCCTTGCAAACAGAGTAGGATCCTCAGAGGGTGTGTCTTCCAGCTCAGGGAAGGAGCTCCTCCAGGATCCCAGGAGCAGAGGCTCAGACCACAGGAGGGTTCCAGTAACATCAAAAACTTTTTCAATCCTGGAGGAATTTCCCACCCCCACCCCTCAAATTTTTCTGTACTTCCTAATTTTTCTTTTTCAGCAAAACAGTGTGGTAGAAAGGCCGATGGAATTATCCACCCAGGTTCCTCCCTGATCCTGTTTTCACCCTTCCCCATTCAGTCAGGGGGCATGTGCTACCTTGGGAAGGAATGATACAGCAAAAAAAGCAGAGTGAAGATATTTGAGTGTCAAGGGCTTAGGCTCTGGAGTTGTGAGAACCTAGGCTTTGGGCTCGGAAGGACTCAGGGCACCAACAAGACAGATGGCTGAAAGCTACCATGCCAGGCAGAGCAAGGTTACCTGGACAAAAGTGGGCACTGTGGCAAGGGGATTCAAGAATAGAAGCCCCTGTGCCCCTTTTCAAGGTCAACCCTGAGGAAGCAGCAGGACCCCAGGGTTCCCCATGCCCATGGTGAGGGGCCAGGCAGACCTGAAATAGCCCAAAGATCCCCATGCCTCTGTGTGGCCTGGGTGCCCTAGAGGATTTGCCATGCACCCAAGAGTGACAAGAACATGGTCCTGAGCACCTGCAGATCTGAAAGACCTTGTAACTGGGAAAGAGAAAGGCGACCACACTGCCAGTGTGGACCAGACGGGTTGGGGATGTCTCAGCAAATGCCAGTGCAGGCAGAACCTGACAGAGGACCAGGTGTGCCCCCACACCCCCACCCTGAGTGCCTTGGCATTCTGTAAGCACCTCTTCCCTAGAACCACTCTAGGAAGACAAGAGCAGTCAGAGCTGGGTTGCTAACTGTAAAATGGGGTGGGCAGAGAATAAAAATTAAATTATAGGAAAGCAAAGAAATGCACATTCTTTACTCTTTGATTTGTTTTTGCAATAACAGCAACTGGATAAATGCAGCTTCTGCAAGTGGGAATGACTCCCCCTACACTATGCAGTTTGTTTATTGACCTCATGCTATGTGCCAGGAATGATGTCTTTACTTCCTCACAGCAGCCCTCTGATGTTGGTATCATGGACTCTTATTTAATAGATGAGGAAATGGTAACAAAGAGAATTCAGTTGCTCAAGGTCCTACAACTTATCAGTAAGAATAGCAGGATCTGATTGAGGGATGTTGTGATTTGAATCCTTAACCGGTACCTCATGGAGGAAGAAATAAACCTCTTGTTGTGATCAGCCAAGTAGACTCTTTCCCCAATAAAAGGCACTATTCTTATTGGAAATAATTAGAATAACAATACTTTGCATTACTAAGTGCTTACCACAGTAAAAGAAATTACCCTAGCCAGGCGTGGTGGCTTATGCTTATAATCCCAGCACTTTGGGAGACTGAGGCAGGTGGATCACCTGAGGTCGGGAGTTCGAGACCAGCCTGACCAACGTGGAGAAACCTTGTCTCTACTAAGAAACAAAATTAGGCCGGGCACAGTGACTCACGCCTGTAATCCCAGCATTTTGGGAGGCCGAGGTGGGCGGATCACGAGGTCAGGAGATCGAGACCATCCTGGCTAACACAGTGAAACCTCATCTCTACTAAAAATACAAAAACAAAATCAGCCAGGCGTGGTGGTGGGTGCCTGTAGTCCCAGCTACTTGGGGGCTGAGGCGGGAGAATGGCGTGAACCCAGGAGGTGGAGCTTGCAGTGAGCCGAGATCACGCCAATTCACTCCAGCCTGGGCGACAGAGCGAGACTCCGTCTCAAAAAAAAAAAAAAAAAAAATTTAGCTGGGCGTGGTGGCGCATGCCTGTAATCCCAGCTACTCGGGGGGCTGAACCCTTGAACCCGGGAGGCAGAGGTTGCGGTGAGCCGAGATCATGCATGCCATTGCACTCCAGCCTGGGCAACAAGAGCGAAATTCCATCTTAAAAAAAAAAAAAGAAATTACCCTATTACTCAATTTTATCATTTAAACCTCCCTGAGCCATTGGGATTGTGACCCTCATTTTGTAGATGAGAAATCTGAGGTCCAGAAAGATTGTGTCTCTAGTAAAACATCACAAAGCTGCAAAATGGCAAAAAAGGGCTTGGGGCCTCACCACTATAACACTTTGCAAACTTCCATGTGTGCTTGAAGCCCCTGGGGATCCTGTTAAAATGAAGTTGATCCTAGTTGAGTAGGTCTGGGGCAGAACTGAGCATCCACATTTCTTTCTTTCTTTTTTTTTTTTTCTCTTTTTTAAATTGAGACGGAGTCCCGCTCTGTTGCCCAGGCTGGAGTGCAATGTCGCGATCTCGGCTCACTGCAACCTCTGCCTCCCAGGTTCATACAATTCTCCTGTCCCAGCCTCCCGAGTAGCTGTGATTACAGGCATGAGCCACCATGCCTGGCTAATTTTTCTATTTTTAGTAGAGTTGGGGTTTCACCATGTTGGCCAGACTGGTCTCGAACTCCTGACCTCAGGTGATCCACCTGCTTTGGCCTCCCAAAGTGCTGGGATTACAGGCGTGAGCCACTGCACCCGGCCAAGAGTCCACTTTTCTAACAGGCTTCCAGGTGATGCTGATGCTGCTGGTCTGTATACAGGCCACACTTGGAGTAGCTGACACTAAAGGGGTCTGCCCTAGATAGGAATGCAAGCGGGCCCTCAGCTATTTGCAAAAGCATTACTGAATTACTTTCCTTCATCTGGTGAGGTGTATGGTAAAAAGGGCATGAAATATTGTGACAGGGTCACGGAAGAATGGAGCTGGAGAAGTGGCAAGGTTGAGGTTGACTGCCCCCATGGGAGAGAGAGTGCCATCCTTCTCCATAACTGCGTGGGAAGCTTTTGGGATGGGCAAGAGCAGTGGTTACATCCTGCCCAGGTCTTCCCTGACTTAATGCTCAGGGAGGCGGTCTTGGGCAGCCCAGCTTGCAGGCCTGCAGCCGTGCCTGGCCCTGGCCCTTCCACGAACCCACCTATGAAAGAACCTCGCTTCTGGAAGCCATGCCGGTGATGTGACTGCCTCAGAGAAGTAGCTGCAGTCTCTGTAGCCACGCCACTGAGCTGGCTGCTCAGACCCTCCTCTCAGTGTGGGCAGGTATGGCCTGGGACGGCTCAGGCTGACACAGAACACTGATCTCCTTTATCTGCTCTCCATGGCCCTACACCACACTTCCAGTAGGCTGCTGGGAAATGAGGACACTGCACAGGACAAGGACAATGACAGTGTCCAGGCTGGGGACAATATTCTGTAGGATGAATAGGAGGTTGGCTTTGCCTGTCTCCTTGGCTCCAATTCACTGTTAGGCCAGCTTACCTGCTGCTCTCCGCAGCCAGAGCTCCAAATGAACCCTGGATTCCAGGGCATGAAGTTGGAGCTGGATGTGGGCCCTAGGAAAATTCATCATTGACCACAGCACCAGGACGATGATCACCACCAGGTATACCTGGGTATGCACGTAAGGGAGCCTGCTGCTTGGGGTTCTTGCTGAGTAGCATCCTCTCTAGCACACTGTCTAAAGACACCAAGAAGCCAGGGCTAGGGAAGGCAGAGGAGGCATCAAAGGGTATCTTGAAGGATCTTGGGCTCTTATTCCAGGTCAGTTCCTGCCTGAAGTTCCACAAACCCTCTGAAGCATTCTGAAGGGGGCATCATAGAGCAAGCACTGTGGAGAACTTACTTGGTCCTGGCTTCATTCCTAAGGACAGTGCTGGTGAGATCACCCCATCCTGATCTAAGGTCTACAGTTGCCTCCTGCCTTAGTCATAATTCAGTTTAAACATCTAAGCAAAAACCAAATCAAACCAAACTAGGCCCACATGCTCATGGCTCCATGGGGGGTTGGCGTGGCCAGGAGAAACACAGCCTGACCATCGTCCCCTTTTCAGCTTATCTCTTCCCTCAGTCTGGTCAGCATCAAGGTGGAGCATGTTGACTGTGTGCCCCTGCTCTTCCATGGTGGCCCTTGGTGGTGGGAATGGTGGGGTTTGGTTGATGCTGTTATTGATAACTATGATATTATGTCTGGAAAGGATGGGAATGGTGGTGGTGATGCTGGGTCTTGGGGTTGTTGCCACTGGGCTTGGTCAGAACTGTTGGTGATGGTGGGGGCCTTGTGATTGGTATTGACAGTGCTGAAGGGGTGGTTGCCACTGTGGGGGTGATGATGCTACTTGTGTTAGTTAAGATGGTAGAGCATGAAAATCTCTGTTGATTGGGTGATGATAGAATGCCAGTCAGGTGGTTGGTCTTGAAATTATTCATGCTGCCACCCACCTGGTCTATGTTCCACCTTGCTGCCTGGTGACTATGGCTCAGGGGAACCCTGAGCTGCATCACTTTGCCCCAGGAATGCTCCATGCAACTCCAGGGCCCACATTGCCATTGTGGTCTAGATGAAGAACACCTCATCAGCTATAGTGTGAAAGGCACCCTACAGCCTTTGCTAGTTCCACTTTCCTTCAGAATGCATTCAAAATCCCATAGCCTGGGAGTCTAGATGCAGACCACTACTAACCATGACATCCTCTGCATTCTCTCCATTCCAACTAAAATGATTAACTTGGGGTTCTGGGACACCACTTCTCATCAGCACCTCTGCTTGTTCTGCTTAGAGTATCTGTCCAGCCTTTTGTATCTGCTTCCACCCAAATTCTAACCATTCCTGATGATAAAATACACTGACCTCTTCTTCCAGGAAGCCTTCTTTGATCCACCACTTGGAGGGATGCTCCCTGTCTCTGGACCATACATGATCAACCTTGCATTGGGAACACAGCCGCATCGGCCCTTTCCGATTCCTTTAGCACCCATAGTAGTCAGGCACCTCCACAAATGCCCACAGACACCGGATGCTGAATGAGAACATCTCTCCTGCTTATACTGAGGGGTTTACATGGAACCCAGCCTGGGGCCCCCCAGGGCACTACATGAAGGGGTCTGGGGTAGGTGGGAAGGCAGGGCTTCAACTAGGTGGCTCCAAGAGAGCTCCGACAGGCTGGGGTCTGGGAGCAGGGGTCCAAGAGCCCGCCAACTCTTAGTGGTTGGCTGAGGCTTTGCCAGCCTCAGGATACCCATTGCCCAGGACCTCTCTCTATCTGGCAGACCCCTGCCCCCAACCCACCCTTGGGCCTTGCAAGTCCTCTGTAAAACATCAGCCAAATATGAGTGTGTTCCAGGAGGCCTAGATGAAGGCAGCGGGATGAAGGCTGCCTGGCCCGGGCATCAGACTGCTGGAGGCAGGATGGGGTGGGAGGCCAGAATAGGTTGGCAGGGGGCTTTAGGGAGCATCTCAGGGTGGATGGGCAGGAGAGAGCGGCCTCAAACACCAACGCTTCCTGGTGGGATTGCGAAGGTTCCTGGAGGCAGAGGGAAAGCCTCTGCCCAGGCAGCAGGAATGGGCGCAGAGCTCTGGCTAGCCCAGCCACAGAAAAGGCAGGACAGCCTTGAGGGCTGGGCCTCAGCATCTGCTTCTAATGTAAGTGCCACCACTCTCATGTCCTCAGCCTGTGATTTCACACAATCAGGGACATGGAATTGGCCTGGAGAAGCTTTGCCATCATGGGGTACTTTCTAAGTGGTCAGGCCTGGGTCAGGTGAATGGGGTGCTAGCTAGTGGCTTACAGCTCAGCAGGACATGAGCCTGAGGCCTGGCTGGGATCTTTTTGGCTGCTGCTGCCCTTCCTAGCCCTTCCTAAATGCCCAGGACTAGGACAAGGCCACAGGTGGGTGGGAGCTGGGAGCAAGACCCAGGTGGAAGCCTTCCCAGCCCTCTTGCCTCCTGCCACTTGAGCAAGAATCTGCCAGGGCTGCCTTCCATCTCTTTTCCCCTGAGCCCCAGCCCTGGCCCCCTGAGTTCCCTTGTGAACTGCTTCTCAGCCCAGGTGTGCCCACTGGAGCCCTTCTCTCGCCTCTGGACCAGGATCGAGCATAAGTAGCTCCTTCCTGTGAGAACAGCTTGCGGGGTGCCTTCTGATGGGGTGGGGCAGGACAATGGCTCAGTCTGCTGGTTGCAGCAGGGTGTGGAAGGAGAGGCAGGGGGCATTCGAGTATTCCCATATGCACTGTCCTGTGGGTGACTAAGGTTGCCCAATGGGCCTCAGCACAGATTCCCACCAGCCATCCTCCCGCCGTGGGTTGCAGCTGGGCTCGGAACCTGTGGGGCAGGAGAGCAGCAGGACCAGAGCTGCGCTGTGTCCTGGGGCCGGTGGACACAGCCCCTGCTCCTCTTCTGATGGTGCCTGTCCTCTCTCTGTCCCAGATCATGCCCTCACAGCCCCTCTTGGGTGGGACACACACAGGCACAGCATGACTGGGGCTTGGTGTGGTTCACTTCAAATCTTCTTTATTTCAGAACAAGCATGCTTATATGTACAGAAGAGAGAACTATGGAGCCAGCACACACGGTACAGAAAGGAGGGTGCATGCCCCCACCTCACCACTGCCAGGAGGGGTCTCTGCCTCATTACCCTGGGGCTTCTACTTCCTCTTCAAAGAGCCCTATTCCGGGCTGCCCTGAGCTCCAGAGGGCAGCGAGGGAGCCGGGCAGCGCCAGGGATCAGCCTCTTCCCCAGACCCTGATCTACGGGTGACTCATTCTAGGAGGGGATGAGGCCAGGAGCTGAGGATGGTGGGAAACTGAGCAGCGGCCCATCCATTTCCCTTGGTTCTGGGGTGTTATGCCAGCAAACCCCTCCTGCCCTCTCTGGTCTACAGCTAAGGCCCTGTGCAGAGGGCAGGGGATTGGGCTACGGGCTATTTGGGGGGTGGCGAGGGTTGCCCTGGGGAGGTTTGGTGGGTACAGAGCTGCAGGGGGCTGGGCCCCAGCATCAGCTCTGGGGTGGGCAGAGGACAGAAATGCTGCGGTTGGCCATCAGAGGTGCCCCCAGCAGAGTTATACATTGTCAAGCATCACCGTGGGGCTCACATGCCAGATCTGTGTGGGGGTAAGGATGGAGGGAGTCCAGCCTGTTGGGGTGGGGGGATTCCAGGCAGCCTTTTAGCTTTTAACATTAAGGATTTGGGCTGAAAGGCCATGGTGCCAGTTGCGCAATTTGGCAAAACGTGGGCTGTTACGTTCCGTTTCAAACCTTTCCCTGTGGCACAGAGAGAGAGAGAGAGAGAGAGAGAGAGAAACAGAGACAGAGACAGAAAGAGAGAGAAGAGAGGGAGAATGAAAGGGGTTAGGGAATGTGTTCACCATTCCCCTGTCTAACAGGTGGGGCAGAGGGCATGGGAGGGAGGGAACGGGCTTGGAGAAGCTATGCAATCCATGGGGTACATTGTAACCCAGGTCAGGCCTGGGTTAGGGGAAGACCGAGAGTCTTGGGGACCAGGATGGAGGGACTGAAGTCCCTGCCTTGAGTGAGTTGGGGGCTGTGGAGAAGGGACCTGGCTAATGGCCCTGAGGGCAGACTGAGCAAAGAGGGCCTCCCTGGTCCATGTAGTGAGGGCTGGGCAGGGCTGCTTTGGCTGTGAGCTCTCAGGATTGAACCAAACAGACAGGTGCACCTCGCATGATCTCTGTCCCCTAGCTGGGCATCAAGAAGAAGGAGCACCTATCCCCCGTGATGAGGCTTGGTGGGCAGACCTGCCCCTTCCCTGTGCTGCCCTGGCCTCGAAAAGCCTCACTGTCCCCAGAGAGAAGATTTTGCACACAGCCCCTGCCCACCCCTGCTCGCCAGGCCTGAGCACAGCCTGGGCACATGCGTGCATACCCACACATACTCACAAGGTCACTGTCACAGATACAGGGCCAGGACTTCTGGCCACTTCCCACCAGTGGGGCCTCTTGGGGCTCAAGCCACACCTGCTCAGCTGAGGCCACAGTACAGAGCAGGCAAGCAGCAGTCAGAAACGTGGGAATGAATGGAGGAAGAGAGCACCTGAGAAAGGCCAGTGCCACAGGCGTCAGAATCCAGGCCTTCCAGGCTGGAAGGGCCGATCACATCCTCCAGACCAGAGGTGCCCACTGGTGGCCAAAGGGCCCCATCCAGCCACAAACACAGTATGTTTAACCTGTACGGTGCTTCCAACTCAATTTAAAGATTAATTTCTGAGTCCATACTATGAGATGCTTCTTAGCAATAAAAGGGAATAGATGAACTATTGGGACACTCAACCACTTGGGTGACCCCCAGGAATTATGCTGATTAAAAAATGGCCAATCTTAAATGGTACCATGCTGTATGATTCCATTTATATAACATTCTTGAAAAGGACAAAATTATAGAAATGGAGGACAGATCACAGATTAGTGGTTGCCAGAGGTTAAGGAGGTGGGTGGGTGCTGGAGGGGAGTGGGTATGGCTATAAAAAGGCGGCATGGGGCATCCTGGGTGAAGGGAAGTTCTGTGTTTTGCCTGTATCAGTGTCAGTATCCTCGTTGTGATATTGTGCTTTCATTTTGCAAGATGCTACCATTGGGAGAAGCTGGGTAAAGGGAACTAGGGATCTCTATTATTTCTTATAACTGCACTGAATTTGCAATTATCTCAAAATAAAAAGTTTAATTAAGAAGTTGGCTGGGCGTGGTGGCTCATGCCTGTAATCCCAGAACTTTGGGAGGCTGAGGTGGGCAGATCACGAGGTCAGGAGTTTGAGACTAGCCTGGCCAATATGGTGAAACCCCGTCTCTACTAAAAATACAAAAGTTAGCCAGGTGTGATGGCATGCGCTTGTAGTCCCAGCTACTCGGGAGGCTGAGGCAGGAGAATCACTTGAACCCGGGAGGCGGAGGTTGCAGTGAACTGAGATTGCACCACTGCACTCCAGCCTGGGCGACAGAGTGAGACTCCATCTCAAAAAAAAAAAAAAAAAAAAAAGAAAGAAAGAAAAAGAAAAAAAAGAAGTTGGCCGGGCACGGCGGCTCACGCCTGTAATCCCAGGACTTTGGGAGACCGAGGCTGGTGGATCACTTGAGGTCAGGAGTTCAAGACCAGCCTGGCCAATATGGTGAAACCCCATCTCTACTAACAATACAAAATTAGCCGGGCGTGGTGTCACATGCCTGTAATCCCAGCTACTCAGGAGGCTGAGGCAGGAGAATTGCTTGAGCCTGGGTGGTGGAGGTTGCAGTAAGCCGAGATCGCGCCACTGCACTCCAGCCTTGGAGACAGAGCAAGACTCTGTCTCAAAAAAAAAAAAAAAAAAAAAAAAGTGAATTGCTAGCATATAAAAATCAGGAAGAGCAACTTTAAGTCTTTGAAAAGAAGATGTGGCAGTGCTGGCCTTCTATTTCTGCACAGTAACAGTCATCGGGGCTGGCCCCCATGTCCCCACACTCACAGAGGTCCTCGGTTCTGCACCTGCTTTACCTGGCAGTCTCTGTCTCTCTCTACCCCTTGAATCCTGCATACTGGGTCTCTGTCTAAGACTGTTTGACAAAAGGGACCCACTGCTAACATATAACATATTTGAAAACCACCAGTCTAGTCTGAACTTTCCTTATACTAAGAGGAAGCTGAAGCCCAGAGAGGTCACATGAATGACCTAAAGCCACACAGAAACTCAGGGGCAGAATCACAATCTAAGTGCCAGCGTCTTCTTCCCTTGCCACATACCTGCCTATCTGAGGTTGGGGTAAAGGGGTGGAGATGGCATGAGCAAAGTCCATGTGGTGGGGCTCCTTGAGTCCTGCTGACAGCACTACAAACAGTCCTGACCATCCCGTAGACACTACCGAGGACACAGGGGCACAAGATCAGACACAGGCAGTTTGCCTGTAAATCGTCAAGTCCTAGCAAGGCCTGTGGAGGCTGGGTGATAGTTTGTCATTAGTGCTTAGTGACAGGGACAGGGACAGTCCTGGAGAGTCCAATCTAGTGAGCATGCTCTACTTGAAGCTGTTTAAAAATCCTCAGCTAGCCAAGGAAAGGAGCCAGGAGAGGAAGGCACAGGAGAGAGGAAAAGAGACAGGAGAGCAAGAGCAAGAAAGACGACCTCCCAGGGGCTGCTCAGGCAGCGGCACCTGGGGCAACATCCCTGGTGCTCCAGTTGTGGTTTTCAAACTCGCTAGGGTGGCAGAACACCAGGGACTCAAAATCCAAAAAAGAGAGGTAATTTTTTCATTGCTTTCTTACAAGGGGCCCATTGGCGGGGGCACCCATTGGCAGGAGGGCCCTATGCTGTGCGGCGTGTAAGCGAGGTGGCTGCAGGGGGGGCAAAACTGAGAGACTGCGCAGCAGAGGGAGGGAAGGGGGCATCTGAGAGGCTGCAGGAGGGAAGAGGGGGAGCCAGTGAGCCCTGGCATCTTATTGGAAGAAGCTTAATGGCTGCATGATAGAAAACGGGCATGGAAGGATTTTTGCATGATCTGGGATGGAAAGGGCTATGTGATGCACCTTCAGCTCCTCTAGGGACTCTTCACTAAGATCAGCTTTGTTCCTAACGCTTGGAAAGATGGGGAGATGCAGAGCTCTTTACCCAGGCAGGCATCAGGGAAACGCAGAGGCTGCACTTGTAAGGGATCAGGGGCATGTCTGGGTTACATGCTGGGCTACATCCTGGATAGTTCCCCCCAGCAGTGGGATCCAGATGCCTCGCAGATCCAAGCCCTGCCTTGTCCCCACCCCTATCCCCAATGTGGCTGCCCAATGTGGATCTGACCTTTTGAGTGATCAGGGCCCTGGAATGCCTTTCCAAAGTCAGAAGGAAGCTGTGGCGATGACTCTGAGATTAGAGGCTCAGTTTGTGGGATGGAGGCACTATTTCAGCTACCTCCGATGGAAACTGGGGAGCCACAGCGTCACCTATACCTACTAGAGTAGTTCCCATGTGGAAGTAGGCAGAAGGCTGATGTTCAAGGCAACCTGGACAGTTTCCTAAGGTGCCTGGTCCTTCCAGGGTGGGAAGTTCATAGCTGATGCCTGGCCTGTTCAGGCCTCCCCCACCTCACCTGTAAAGAGTCCCTGGAAATTAGACTCTGTCTTGGGCTAGCCAGCAGGTTGGCACTGGAGCCTCAGATGGAAGCTACGTGCTACCAGACACAGAGATACCATCAGGAGCCAGGACCCGAGAGGAGAAGAGGGCTGTGAGCTGCCCTGGGACTCTGGGGGTGGACCTTGGAGGCAGAGCAGTGATGGAGGTGAAGGGAAAGTTTGCAAAGTCTTCTTGACATGTGTATTCACACTTGACCTCGAGGTCCCAGAGCCCCTGCCTGGTGCAGAATGCCTGACACTACTCACTCAACATTCCCGCTAACTTTCTCACCACACAGCACCACACAGCACCAGGAAGGAGAAAGCACCTTTGCATGGGCATAAGACTGTGTAGGTGTCACCATGCACAGGATTGGCAAACCCAGGCTCTGCTGGAGTGAGACACTTGGAAGCAGTTTACAGGGAAGCCTTCCTGGGGAAACTCAGCCTTCAAGAGAGACCCTGAGAATCCCCGCTGGGATTTGGGAGGAGAAAGAGAAGGTAGGTGGCTGCTCTCAGCCAACAAGATGGGCCAGGAGAGTCTAGGGGTGCAGCTTCGAACTTGGGAGTGGGGACAGATAGAAGTGTGGCTCAGGCCTCTGAGGAGCAAGACCCCTGACCAGCCTGGACCAGGGTGGGACAAGGCATGTTCCCTTCTGCTCAGATAGTGATGTAGGTGAGCCTGGGGCCCCAGTCATGACCAGTGATCACACACACTGCTTTAGGCTTCAATCACAGACAGATTAGAACTGCTACACCCACTGCACCTGCCTCTGGGTCCATGGGATCACTGCTTGGGATTCAGTGACATGGGTGGCTCTGCCCACGAGGATAACTCTCCAGAAATTAAAGTCAGAAGAAGGGAGAGGAGCCCCTCCAGACCTGGGCAGAGGCTGGCTGGGTGCTTCAGAGCCTCCACTGCAGGGCCTGAGACCCCAGAGAGAGGTGCTGATGGGGTGAGGGAAGTTGCCTGGGACTGAGGGAGGAAGCTAACTGGAGCCACTTCCCAGGCCCTCTTCCCCAGATTTCCCTAGCATGAAACCCTGCCGTAGCTGGGGGAGAGGCTCCGAAAGCTGCCTTTTGCTGAGGCTGAACCAAACTTTCATGGGGTTAGGCCGCTGGTGAAAGGACTACTCTCCCACCCTTCAATTACCCTCAAGACCAGGCAGAACAAACTTCAAGAGATGCTCCTTGAAGGAGGGAAGGGGAAGGCCAAGGATGAGGCCTGGGGACCACCTTCAACACTGCCTTTGTGCTCTCCTCACTCAATAACTTTGCAGAGCCTGCAAATATTCCAGGGGAAAGAAAAGACAAAAGTTTGCTGCAATGCACTTCCACGGTACTCTTTCCCGTTCTAATGACATCTGGTTAATGAGGCACAAGCTGAGCGTGACTGCCTTGCATATCGGAGGGAAGCAGAACATTAAGGAACCAGAAGGGAGCCAGGAAGGCAGGACTCTGGGTCTCAGAGGAGGGAGAAAAAAGGCCCCCTGCTGGCCTGTTGCTGGAAGGAACCCGGGGGGATTTTGAAGCCGCTTGCTCTGGGGTGTGTGATTTAAAGACTTTTTTATCAAATGTTTGGGAACATCTGCATTGCACACTGAAGCAGCTACATGGGTGGCTTCTAAGAGGAGGGCAAGACAAGCATGGGAGCAGCACGCAGGGACAGCGGAGCACAGCGGGAGGGGAGAGCTGAGAGCTCTGGCACTTAAAGCAGCTGGAGCTTAACTTTTGAGCTAAATCAAACATCACTTCATCGCGGACTCTCTAGATGCCCTGCAGGCACTGAAGGGTTAAGAACTGTTATTGGGACTGCATGCCATCCTTAGCAGGCCTGGGAGGACCCCACCTTAGGCTTGGATGCCTGGCCAAAAAGTGGGAGCAACTTGAGTTGGCAAAAGTGTTGGTTCAAAAATAAAATCCACAAGTCTAAGCTGGCTCCAGAGTCCTACTCTGCACAGGTCACATGGCCACTGAGTGTTGGGCCTGCTGGTTAGCAAGTACAGAAAGCTTGGCCCAGGATGGGAGGGTGCCTCTGAGCCCCAGCCCCTTGCACAGAGGCTGCCACAGGATGCACTGGCCCAAGGCAGACAGTGCCGGGAAGAACATGCAGATGACATATTTGCTACCGGAAGTGTACATACAATCACAATGAGCCCTACTCCTTACCATGGAAGGCCCCAGCGGGTTCCAGTGAGTTCCAGGATGGCATGCCCCCCCCCATGCCCACCTCATGCTATGAGCACCTGACGGGCCACAGTGGTAGGTTGGTGGCTGTGGCCTCAGACCTGCAACTGATGGGGAAACCATGCTCTAAGACCCCAGCTTGGCACAAACCCATCCTCATGTCCAGGGCTTGTTCTTTTTTTTTCAGCAACTATTTTGCTTTGAGCAACTTACAGAACTGGTACCTCAATGTGGGTCTGGACAGGTGAGTCCAGGGGTCAGGCGTTCACGTCCAGCACAGCCCCCTGTGTGCCTGTTTCTCAGTGCCCAGCCTTCGGAATCATAGGGGGACAGGCCCTGAGATGAGTGGGTGGGCAAGTTGGCCAGCCGGGTGTCCTCACAGGGAAAGTTGCCCTCATTCTCAACAGCCCAGCAAAGGCCAAAGCAGCCCTGCCCCCTGCCCAGGGATGAAGCTGGGAGAGCCCAGAGCCTTCGCTCTTGTAGCCTGGGCCTGGAGGACAGAGACTCGGGTCCAGGTGCCCACCTCACTGACTCACGATGCTGCCTCAAGCTAGTGTCAGCTGGAGCCCTTTGCAGGCCAGGCTTTCCAAATCCATGAACTTGAGAGGTCCCTTCCATGAGTGATGTGACCTGGGGGCTGCCCGGGGAGGGACGGGGCTAGAGGGCAAGGCCACAGAGCCTGAGTCCAGGCACTTACCTTGACCTTCGCAGAGCTTCTTCATCAGGGTCTTGCACTGTTGGTAGAAAGGAGCTGGTCAGGGGACTCACGGGAGACACAGCAAGGAAAGCTGCTGGGGCTCTGTGGGCACTGAGTCCCCAGGATTCAGCCAGGCCCCACACGGTGACTGCCCCCTTGCCTGTCCACTGTGTGCTGGGCAGAGGCCCCAGAGGACATTGGGAAAGAGTCAGGGGGTAGCCTGAGAGGGCCTCATCCCAGCCCTGGGCAATCATCTCGCCCGGAAGTTGCACACCAAGCCTGCTGCCCACTGCTGGAGTTGGCATTGGAGCAGAAGGCTGCTGTCACCGGACAGCCTGCCTGAGAGGCCCAGAAGGAGCCCTGCCAGCCACTGACAAACCATCAAGCCTGGCCCACCTTCAAGGGCAGGTAGCAGGACTCCCTGGCTTCTGCAGTGCTGGGCCCAGGTCCCTGGTGGCCCCTCAGCATCTCCCTCCTCTGCAGCCACCCTGAGAGCCTGCACTCACTGAATTCTGTCCCCGTCATCTGGGCCAGGATGCGGAAGGAGCGAGACTGCAGGTTGGAGGAACGGCGTGCCCACTCGTCAGCCTCATCTTCTGGCTTGTTCTGGCTCTTAATCACAGCCTGGTAGACGGGAGAGGCGCTGTCTACGGCAAGGTCCTTAATAGGGAGGCTCCTGTAATGCAGAGAGAGGCCGTGGGCGAGGGCTAGGCTGGAGCCCAGTTCCCACCCTGCTGGGTCCCTGCTCCATGCCCATTGGTGGCCCCTATCGTTCTGTCCCCACCTTGCCTTTATCCATTGCTGTCTGAGAACCTGAGATATGGGCATGACCTGGGTTCTCGGTGCTCAGATTGGTCGCAGTGAAGCAGTGACTCCCCTCCCTCATGAGAGACAGGAGGCTCAGATCCCTCAGGTCTGCCCTTCCCCAGTGCTAACTCCAGGCCTAGGCCGGAGACATTTCCACCCCTAGATTCCCTTTACAGAGGGAGGAAACAGAACAGGTCTTCTTTGACCTCCGTGAGCAGGCCGTGAGTTTGGGGCTGGCTGGAGAGAGGCCAACTGGGGGACACAGAGGATTCCTCAGGATCCATCTCCTGCCCTCCTCACACTTTTGGATCCAAACAAGGAGCTGCCAATGCTGTCACTGCCCTGGAAAAGGACTGGGGGCCATGGGCTCAGTGTGAGTAGGCTGACTCTGCTGGAAAGTGGTAAGAAACAAGGCAGCAAGGCACAGCCCTGGCATGGCCTGTAGGGACAGGGGATTTCTGGCCTGGGGAAGTTGGGAGTGGGGCTGCATGGAAGCCACTGGTCCTCTGTCCCAGAGAAGCGCAGCCCTTTGTGGAGGACCAGGTGACCTTCCCTTAGGCTCCCAGGGTCTGGCACATGATAGGTGCACAAAACTCTTGGCTGAACAAACAAATCCTACATCAGAGCCAGAAGGGACCCTAGAGCCCCTCGGGTCCAGTGCCTCCCAGCCTGAATCAGACTGCAGTGCAGGCCATGGTCAAAAGCCTTACAGCCCACTCACCCTGGCCGGGGGACCAGAGGACCAAGCCGCCCAGCCCACCTTCTCAGAGGCCTGGGAGGGCTCAGGTGAAGCCCACAACAGTAACAGACTGCTGGCCCAGCCCTCTCCTCGTACAGATGCTGAAGCTGAGGTCCAGAGAGGCCAGCCAACTAGCTCCAGGTTACAGCAGATAAGGGCCCCATTGGGTGAGAACCTAGGTTTCCTGGCTGCTAGCCCTGTGTCCTTTCCATTAGGCTCCCTGCAGTCATAGGGCTCAGGAAGGCTACTTCTGCCCAGTGGGAGGCCCTGGACCTATGCCTGGAAAGATGCCCTGTCCAGTACTCTTCTGCCTGCCTCTCCCTTTTCCCCAGAGGGCTGGCTGGCTGGGAGAGGAAACTCCCCATTGTCCATGTCTTATACCCTCCCTGCAAGGAGTGTGACAGGGAACTGACCTTGTGTCCCAGGACTGGTCCCTGTGTCTGGCTCAGGGTGGGCTACAAGAGCAGAGGTGGGGAAAGGTGATCGAGGTTGGGTGGAGCTGCCCTGGCTTCGCTGAAGGCCCTGCCCTGGCCCAGAGAGCTATAGGTACTGGCAGCCTGTGGTTGGGATCGGTTGGGAAAGACCAGCAGAGGCTTCTAGGGTCCGGCCAGGGAGGAGCCTGCAGCTGCCCAGGGAGCAAAGGAGAGGGTGGGATCTTGCTGTTGCTGGGACAGGCCATTTCTGGCATAGGGAGGAGTCCCAGGCGTTCCTAAGGTCTGGGTGAGATGGGCAACAGGAAGGCACAACCAGGTCTCCCTGGTCCTGGCTCCTGACCCACTGGGAGGGGAGGGAAGGAGGGAGTGTGAACTGTGCAGTGGGTGAGGGAAGGTGTGGATGCAAGGCCCTTGAGCCTCTCTACAGAGCTTTGCAATCCAGAGAGCAGGTGGAAGGTGTTTGCTGCTGTTTCCCTGGAATGTGCCCAGGAGGAGCTCCCCTGTGCCTTTCTTGGCTCCAAGGGTTCAAGAAAGCATTTCTGGCTTCATTTCCCACAACCCCGTGCAAAGACCAGGGACTCTTGTTGCTGCTGTGACCAAGACTGGGAGTCAGATAAGGAAACTGCTGTGCCTTTCATGACACCAAGGCTCAGGGAGAATATATGCAGGGAAGATGGAACAGGTCCTGCAGTCCTTGGCCCTTGGCCTGAGTCCACTCTCTGGACCCACTTTCAGCTTGTTCTTCTTGCCACAGAAAACACTCCACAGTCACCGCAACATCAGGTCACCGCTGCATTTGCTTCACTGTGTGCAGCCCCCAGTCTGATTCATCTTTCCCCTCCCATGGGTGGTCATGGCAGGCACTGGCTCCTGCAGATACACTTCCCATGAGGATTCTGGGGAGTGGCCTCCAAGAGGTTACCTTGTCACCTTCTAGCCCTGAATAATGGCCCAGTGTGCATTCTAATGTCTGGGTCTACACTGTTCCAGTGCAGATAGGAAAGGCGGGGGGAGCTACCCCAAAGCACGGCAAGAAGAACACAGGTATGCACCCCCAGCCTGGGCCTGCAGCATGAGTGTCACTACTCTGTGATTTCTGTGACCACAGTGACATTATTTGGACAAACCCCAAGAGACAAGTACTTGCCTGTAAAGGCTGCAAGGGATGTCGTTTGGCTGACAGGTGGGTGTGAGGAGGAGCGTGGACAGAGCACGTGGGCTGACCACTGGTCCTCAGACACATCCCACCAAACCCACACACACCATCCCACAACCAGACAGACGGATGACTGGACAGACACTGCAGGGTCTACTTACGCCAGCGGTGACGCCCTGCCAAGCAGAGGAAAACCCAGCCGTGAGTGCGCGTCCATCATGGGATAGCAGAGGGGCAGCGCACACAAGAGAGCCGGGTTAGGGTCAGAAACGAGTTATGGGAATGGGGTGGGTGAAGGAGGAAGAAAAAGAGAAAAAACACGGTCATTGAGGAAGGAACCACGGAAATTAACAGCAGAAATGGGAGCACGTTATGGCCAAGAGGGTTACTCACTGGCACCACAGCATGGTCAGCTCAGCGTGGCTGCGTTAAAAGGAAGAGGAGAAGAGGACCCTTTCCAGGCATACCAGGGGAGGAATAGGGAGGGGATGGGAGGGGACAGGAGGGAGATGGGAAACGTCCTTCGTGAAGTCTCGATTAATCAACAGTGCATCAATTCCAAAACTGATGGGTGCCCTAGTGGTGAGACCAAATGATAGCAGTCTTCCCAACGTGCAGAAAACAGAAAGTTAGTGAAGAGCATTTCTTTCATTATTCTCCATTGAACTTCCCTTTGGCCATTGCTACTACTTTTAAGAGCACACCAAGGACACACGTGACAAAGAAATGTTAACAGGAAATCCCTGTTAGCTCTTGGGCTTAGGCAGCCTTGTTTTTCTGGGTACGCATGAGCTAATGCTTGTGTTTGTAAACTTGCATGGTCATATTTTCTGCTTTGAATGATGGAATTCAATCAACCTTGCCCAGAATTAGGCGAAGAGCAGCAGCCCTGAGCCTTGGGAGTTTGACTTGAAACTCCAGGACAGGCGACCTCTGCTCCCTGGTGGCCTAGAGGAAGTACTGCATCTCCAAAAGGGCCCCAGGCTCCTCAGTTCCAGCAGAGCCCAGAGAGCCCACACTGTTCCACCCTTGGGGCTGGGGAGCCTGCCCTTTATAACCTGCATGCATATCATGGCCACAAGGGCTGGGGTCTGGAAAGGCCAAGTGCAACTGGGTTCTCTGGGACTTTTTAATCCCTCCATCCCTCTTATTACATCGGTTTTTCTGGCTTTGGAAAAAAGCATCACTGTCATTTCAAGACTTTTTGCCTTGAATTGCTAGGGGATCCTGACCCAGGGATAAGATGTTGCCGAGACTGATAATCAGCCAACACAGTGGTATTCCCAAGTAGAAAACAGTGAGGAATTATGTGTATGTGTGTAAAAAAGAAACAACAGATAGACAGACACATACACACACACACACACACACACACACACACACACGAGGGTCGGGGGAGGGAGAGACAGAGAAAAAGCAACAAGGAGGAAGACAGAAAGAGACATACAGAGAGAGGGAGACACAGAGACACGCAGAGAGAGGTCTGTCTGCATGAATGTTTGCATTGCTAGCATTTTTCATCCACAAATGATTTTCAGCCAACTCTTTCTTTACCAACCCTCAAATTCCCCAGCCATAGCTAATGGGTGAATTCCAGGAACCAAGGATGTCTTAAATGCCACTGCCTTGAGGCCGGGCTTCCTAGGGCAAAAAGAAGGGGATTGCTCCCATCTGTGGGACTGATTGCCAGCAGTAGTGTGGATGGTTGGTCGCAGACCCCTTCCCAAACCAGAAACCCAGCCAGTGTATTTGAATCAATTCTCATTGCTGGAAGAACCTGGTAACTTCCCCCTCCTTAAAGGACAGCTTCGCTGTGAGAGGCCTGGGGGCCTCCAGAATGGTCCCCTTGTTAAGAGGACTGTAGAAGTCTCTTCTTCCAGCCTCCTCATAGAGCCTGGGAAAATGCAGAGGCTGTGAAAAGCACTTTGAGGAGCCACCATTTTCTGCATTTCTCCACCCTTCTCCTAAAGCTGACCATGGAGAGGGTCTGAAGAGAGGATACCCACGTTCCAGAAGGCCCTGGTGAAGGCTGGCTCCCCTCCAAGGGCCATGCCTCCAGGAGGTCCAACGTGAGGGAAGAAAGCTGGTCCCGATGGTGCCCAATGGCCCATACCCCTCGGGCTCTGGAGGCACTGAGTGGCGGTGGAGGAGGGAGGCGCTTACCCACTGAAGTCACTGCCTTGGGCTTGGGCCTGCCCAGCGATGGCATCCATGATGGCATCCTGGGAATACATGCTGATGGGCGTGTTGTACTGCGCATGGATGATGGTGGCCTTGCCGCCCAGCCCCTTCACCTCGATGGGCTTGTGGGTGGACAGGGCCGAGTCCTTCAGGGCACTGGGGTTGAAGCGTTCCTGGTAGTCGGCGCTGGGGGAGGGGTGCGGGAGTACGGGCAGGGAGAGGGAGGAGAAAAGGGCAACAGGTGGCGGTTACATGGGTGGCCAAGGCAAGGGCTGGGCGCGGTGGGTGTCGAGAGAGATCTCCCAGAGCCGAGGCCCTGAACCCCCATAGGCTACACAAGTCTCCAGATGGTGGGTGGTCTGGGTGTATTCAAGAAAATCCTTGGCACCCTCCCCCAAAGCCCAGTGCAGCAGAAGGTTTTCTTTTTTCTTTCTTTTTTTTTTTTTTTGATACAGGGTCTCGCTTTGTCGCCCATGGTGGAGTGCAGTGGTGTGATCTCCACTCACTCCAGTCTCAACCTCTTGGGCTCAAGTGATCCTCTCACCTCAGCCTCCTGAGGTAGCTAGGACCACAGGCATATGCCACTATTTTTTTTTTTTCTGTAAAGACAGAGTCTCACGATGTTGCCCAGGTTGGTCTTGAACTCCTGACCTCAAGCTGATCCTTCTGCCTTGGCATCTCACAGTGTTGGGATTACAGGCATGAGCCACCACTCCTGGCCATAGAAGGGTTTCCTTGCCCATCTTGGCTTTCCCAGCTCCCCTGCAGTGCCTGGCTCAGCCTGAGCTCCCTCCCAGGGTCTGCAGGGGCTGCCAGGCACAGAGAGATCTCCCACTACACACAGCAGGGGAAGCGCAGGCATGGGGCTGGGGGTAGGGGTCGGGAGCAGCAGCCCAAGCTGAGTCCAGAATGCCCCAAAGGTGAAAAGCGGCTCCACTGGCACCCGCAGGGATTCTGAGCAAGGTTTCTCCGTGAAGGGGCTCTTCCTGCAGGCCACCCCCTTGGTGGCCCAGGGCTCTGATCTTCCAGACGCTTCAGGGAATGTGCTTCTTCCTCAGAGCAGGGCTCCAGCTGCCCAGGCCCCCTCAAGTCCAGTTTGCTGAGTAGCTGGCCATCCTCTACCCACAGGAGGCTCTTCCCTCCAATGGATAGGTGCGCTCCCCGGGCAGACAAGATCCAGTGCAGCCCTTCTGAGGGGTCGCCAGGACAGAAAGGTCTTCAGGCTCACACAGGCCCAGCAGCAGCACAGCCTGTGTCCCCCTCCCCCTGCGCCCGCCACCGTCACCAACCCCAGGCACATCTTAAGCAGCTGCTGCAGCAGGAAATTGGGAATGAAATTAGAACCATCGGATGGAGCCCCCACTCCCACCCCCAAATGCTTCTACTCCAGCTTCACACATGCAGGCTCACCCAGGGGTACAAGTGTACCCCACTCATACATATGCACATACATGTACACATGCCAGCAGGCACACTCTATCCACGCCAGACACACGCAGACACATGCTGGGGCTGGCACGCAAGCGCACACACATGCTGTCCTTTGATACTAACTTGGCTGGAGAGTTGACTACCACCTGGGGAGGAAAAGGGCAAAGAAGACAGGGTGGTCAGAGAGAGGCTCCACCAGGGGCAGTTTGAGCGCCGGGGCCATCATCAGCCTGGTCATTGTGGAGGCAGAACCAGCCCAAACCGCAATGGGTGAGGAGAGCAAGGAGTGAGGAGGGAGAACTCAGAGCCGGGAATCACAGCTACTGGGACCCTCGGTTTGGTTCAGAGACTGACACAGCAATGTTTCCCTCTTGAGGGGTCCCCAGTGCCCTCTGCTTTGCCAGAAGAAGGGTTTTCTTGTCTATCTTCAGGGGCACTCGTACCGCATACATGAATCCCCCACATACAAACCTGGCTATAGACCCCAGAGTGGAAGCTAGGGGTGGAGACAGGACCAGCTGTGGCTGCTATGGAAAAGGCTGAGGCCCAGGGGCCTCCCTGCCTGTCAGCAGCTCCGGACTAAGAGTCTGTTTTGTGGGGGCAGCTCTGGAATTCTGTCCTGAGCAGGCATTGCAGTGGTAAGGAGGCAGGGTGTGCGCGGGGTTTCCTATGCCCCCCCAAACCTGACCTCCTCTCCCTCCCAGAAGAGACGCAGGCAGCTCTGGCTGCTCCTCTTGGGGTATAGGGGAGTGGGGTGCACAGTCACCAGGGGCCACTCCTAAAGGCCCCTTGGGCCAGCAATGAGGCAGGATGGAGGAGCGAGCAGGCGCAGGGAGAAGTGTGAGCTCAACAGCCGAGGCAGCACAGTGAGAGGCCCCTTCCTCTCACTCTGACCTGAGAGTGAGCCTCCCAGAGCATGGTCTCTGTAGGGAAAGCAGTGTCTGTCCTGTGTTTCTTTAAATGCAAATTCCCTGCAGTGGCAGACCCTGTGGCCAGCAGCCCTGTCGGGGGCCTGTGAGGGAGACAGTGTGGAAGGTGGGGGGCTCTGTCCCCAAACTCTGCCACCTTCTTGAATCTGCCCAGTGTGGGCTGTAGCTGGGGGAGCTTGGGCCCCGGCCAGCCTGGCCCTGGTCATTTGCAGCCAAACCCTGGGAAGCCAGGCTCAAGTCAGTGGTCCCCGGTCCCAGGGAGCAGCACAGTGGCCCTGCTCTGCCCCAGGCCCGCCACTGCCTCAGAACTGATAAAATTCCCTCTATCCTCCCAGGCTCAAAATAGCTGCAAGTGGAGCTATATTAGGAAAGGGCCAGCACGGAGCTCCATTCCTTCTCCATTTTTGGCCAGTGCTGACAGCTGCAGGGTCATCTCTTGCCCTGACCAGCCCAGGGCCCCCTGCAGAGGGCAGTGTTGGCCTGGCGGGGTGGGGGCTGCCTCTGCCCTCCCTTGGCAGCCTGCTCCTTCTTTGACATTTATTCCTGCCTCCTGCTCAGCTTCTCCCACCCAGGACCTGGGGCCGGGATGGTGGCAGCAGACACATCTGAGAGGAGCCAGTGCCTGGGTCTTGGGGAAGATGAGCCAAAGATGTAAGACCTGCCCAGGGGCCCTTGCACTGAGTGGCCTGAGGGGCACTGCCCTTCAGTGCCAGCCTCAGAAGGGAGGAGAAGAAGGGGGCTGCTGGGATGCCTATGCCCGTCTGCCCTTGCACCACATCTGTTTCTCTCTCCTCCTTCCAAGAGGATACGAGGTGCCAAAGAATTGCACTGCAAGTTGCCCAGAGGAGAGAGTAGCGGAAGGGGCTTCTTTTTGGAGCCAGACAGGACAGAGTTCAAGTTGTGACCCTGCCTCTTCCTAGCACTGTGACTCCGGGCAAATTACCCACCCGTCCCAGCCTGTTTCCTAATTCTAATTCTTGAGATGGTAGTGCCTACCCCGCAGGTGGGTTGTGCAGACTGAACGGGTCATGAGTCTAAGGTGCTCAGCATGGGAGAAGTGTGCCATGGATAAGCACGGGGATTAGCCCTTGCTGACCCTGTTGCTGACCCACTTAGCATAGGTGGTGGCCTCAGCCCAGCAGAGGTTGCCCTAGGCCAGCCCAGGTCAGAGGCTCCAGCCCTTCCTGCCGGCATTGCCTGAGACAGCAGCATCAGCTTTTACTTTGGATGAAGCACCCACTGCACATCCTCCCCTAGCCCACCATCCCTTGGAGGAAACGTCAGACTCTGCTGCTCTGAGCACCAAGAAATAATTTACACATTCATCAGGGTCTGGGCAGCCCCTGCACCGACAGCAGAGTACCTTAGGCACTATGGGAAGCAGAGGTGGGCCTGGCCCCTCACTTCCCTGAGCAGGCAGCAAGTCCCTGTCTCAATGCAAAGTGGAGTCAGGCAGACCTGCATGCCAGTTCTGTCTGCCACTTACTAGCTGTGTGACCTTGGGCAAATTACTTGCTCTCTCTGAGCGTCTATTTTCCAGCTATAAAATGGGGAAAATCATGCCCACCTCTGGAGTTGCAGAGAGAGTTGTTTTAGAGAGTGTTGCTGAGAGATAAGGCATGTGGACTGTTAGCTGGTCCATAGCCAGAGTGCATGGTCAGTATGGGGAGACATTATCATCATTGCAGGTGGGTCTCCTGGGAGTCCCAGGCCACCAGAGGCTGACCTCTCTGCCTGAGGCCAGTTCCTGAAAAGGACCGGGAAGACCTACCAGCCCAACAAATGCGGGACAAGGAGGTCATCTCTGTTCTACTATTCCCTGAGTTTTCTGGCAAAAGTCCTTTGCTGGGGAACCCTGGGGGCATATATGGCTCTGTCACCTTGGGTAAGGGAAGCAAGCCATGTGGTGCCAGAAATCAGCTTCACTGAGGATTCTAGAAAGAGCTGGGGGGGTGGGGAAGCTGAGGGCCACAGGGAGCAGTGACCTGATGGGGCACAGGTGCCTTCTGCTGCAAGGGCAAAGGCAAGGGCATGGGCTTGGGCCAGACTGACCGGATTCCTACTGTGACTCTTCTGGGTGGCTCCAGGCAGTGATGATACCAGGTGTCATGCAGTGAGTGGGTGACAGACAAAGCTCAGAGCTTTACAAGTGTTGGGCCCTTTATCCTCCCAATAACCCTGAGACATGGACAGTGTGATTCCTCCATGATTCGGAGGAGGAACCCTGAACCACTAGGCTCTACTGCCTTGACTCAGCCTGCCCTGCCTGGAGAGGGCTATGCCAATTGCACAGGGCGGGAGTAGAAGTTAGGGTGAGAGAACAAGCGTGAAGGGCTCAGAGCTAACACAGGCCCAGTGTGGGGACTCCGTTCCTTTGCCTCCCCCCTACAGTGCCCCAGTCCCATGTCCTTTTACCTGCTGTGCTCCCAGAGTCCCGCCAGCTAGACCTTAGGGGTGAGGCTGCTGTTCTCCTGCACAGCCCCTTTCTCCTTGGGGTCCTGCTTCCTCGCCACCCCACCCTGGCCAAGGTCACTCCTGCAAACCCGCTCCCTGCACGCCACTGCCAAAGAGTCTCTCCATATACAATTCAAGGGCTCCCTCCTCCAGGCAGCTTCCCAGACTATTCCTAGTCCCAGATAACTCGCTTTTCCACCTCTCGAACGCTCCCCTGCTCCTGCCTCCGAGCTCCCAGAGGGGTGGGGACCTGTGCATAGCTCTTGAAGGCTGCAGGCTGTGCTGTCCTGTTCTGGGGAGTGGCCTAGTGAAAAAGTGTTGGAAGTCAGAATCTCCTGAATTCAGGACTGGCTCGGCCACATGGTAGCTGGACAAACGGACTGTGACTTAACCTTCTCTGAGCCTCAGTTTCCTCCTCTGCAAAATCCGACATGTCACCCCAGCGTGGTTGGTTGTATAAATCGCTAGCATGCCCGGCTCATGGCAAATGCCGCAGGATCACTGCTGACCTCATGGGCTCGGGGCTGGCTGGATTGGGGCCAGTGCCTCGCTCTGACCACCTGACCAGGTCTCTGCCGAGCACCGAGGACCCAGGTGGCCCAGGCCACCTGTGGAGAGCTGTATGTCCGTTACCTACCCTCCTGGGAGTCCGACACCCGAGGCCTTCCCTCGGAGGCTCATCTGGTACATCTGAGCCATCTCCCTCAGGGTCTCTGCCGAGTACAGGCCAATGGGGTTGTTATATTGCCTCGGCTGGCTCGAGCCCGGCAGGGCTTTTGGGCCGAGTAGGTCCCGGGCCCCCTCTGGGCTGGTCTTGGCCCTCAGGCTGGCCCGCGGAGGGCCAGGGTCAGAGGCCTCGGCGAGTGAGGAGAAGGCGGAGGGCCGGGAGAAGGCAGGGCTAAAGGTGGGCCTGAGCTCCGGGGTGCCTGGGGTGCCTGGGCTGGCCCTCGCCTCAGGGCTGGGGCTGGGTGCCACCAGGCTGCCGTTCGTGTCCAGAGCGGGGTCCTGGCACAGGGCAGGCCATGCAGGGGAGAGAGAAGAGAGCGGTTAGAGGCCACACGCGTCCCAGCGCTCCTGCGTGGACCTGAAACAGATGTGTTAGCGCGAGCCCCGCAGCCTGAAGCCCAGAGCGCCTGGGCGCAGCACTTGGAGGGGAGGACACTGGTGGAGGAGCAGGCAGGCACATGGCTCCTGGCCTGGCGTGAGGCTGGCATCCAGCTGGGCAGAGTGCCAAGCCCTGCATGGAAGCCAAGCCAAGCTTCCTGCCCCCAGGGCCCGAGGAAGTGGGTGTAGGGGTCAGGGGATGGCCCGTTCTGTGTCTGTTCCCCCTGCCCCTGAGAGTGGGTGCCCAGTGGGCACAGCCCAGCCTCCTGCTCCACTGACCCCACACTGCCAGTGAGATGAAGTTCCTGGGCTGGTTGTGGGCAGGTGGTGGGGAGGTGAGGAGGGAAGCTGAGGAATTGGGTAGCTCACATTTGGGCCCCTCAGTCTACCTCTGCAAGCATCTCCCAAGCAGCCCTCCACCCACTTCCCCAGTCTGTGACCTACCCCACCCCTGTCAGCCTCTTTTTCTCCCCTCTCCCCACTGCCCTGCCCAATCTGCCCCATTGGACAGGTGGGGTCACTATCAGTTCACATAGGGGGAGAAGTTGAGCAGGGAGCCCTCGGGGGTTGAGCTGCTTGGCGGGGCCTTGGGAAGGGCCTAGGCAGTGGTGAGGTCTGGAGCCAGGGCTTGGCCTCCCTTCTCCCCTGTGCCTGCCATTGCCAGCACGTCCTAAGGGCTACAGGGGAATGCACTTGGGAGGGGCAGGTGGGGAAGTGGAAACCAGAGGGAGAGATCTGGGTGAGGCCAGCAGGCCCCTCCACACCTGGAGGTCCTCGTCAAGCTGGGCCTCAGCCACAGTCACCCAGCGGTGGCCCCCTTGGCAAATGAAGGTCAGAGCCTGGACGCTCGTCCCCTGCCTGGCCAGGAGGGTGACCCCTCTCCTGGGAACACTGCTGCCCAAGCTGGCTTCCTATCAGCCCAGCCACGAGGCATAGCGGAGGTGGCTTGCACCCAGGCAGGCATTCATTCCCACATCCAGTGTTCAACAGGGGCTTGAAAGTCTCTCCCAAGGGGCTGCCTCACTTCCCCAGGGTCAGCTGCAGCAGGGGCAGGGATGGGGCAGGGCTGATCCCACGGCCTCATCCCAGTTGGGCCAGCCAAAGACCAGGCAGGCTGGCCAGGGCCAGCACTCCAGGAACCAGGGCTGAGTGGACCCCGCCGCCACAGTCAGCACCTACCTTCTGGTGAGGGATCACCGGCAGAGGGGTCTGGACTGGAGGTGCTGTCGTGGAGATGGGAATGGGACGCTTTGATCTGTAGAAACCAGAAATGAGACCAGGTGAGGAAGTTGCCCCTGGGGCCAGAAGCTCCTGCCTGGGCAGGGCTGGTGAGGAGAGAGCAAGAGAGAGCCAGAGTCAGCTCTCAGAGATAGCTGAGTCAGAGGGCCCCAGATCCACTGTCCACCCCATGGGCTGGATCTCCCCAAGAAGGCCCTGGGCCCGACGAGGATGGAGAAATCATGGCCCCTGGGCATTTTGGTCAGAATCCATGGGCCCCTGCTACGTCACTGGGGGCTGCCTGGGCAAAGTGGAAGTAGGTAAGACCTGCCTTCCAGGACCAATGGCCCACGTACGGGCAGCACCAGGACCACCATCTCTGCCTTAACTGTAAAGTGAGGCAGTAATGTCTGCCTCTAGGTGCTTGACAGCGACTTGGGCCTGTTCATTCCTCTGGCCCAGGGCTGTCCTTATCTTCCTGCACAGTTTTGTAGCCCAGGGCGGGGCCCACTCAATTGCTATGGGACAATCCCTCTTTTGGCCCCTGCCCCATGCCCACACCCAAACCTCCGCCCCCTGCTCTGGAGAGCTCCCACCTACTTCTGCAGGGTGAGGCTCAAGTTGTAGCTGGCAGACTTGATCTTGTTCTGGGCTTCCAGGTGGGTCATGGTGTCTGTGTTGACGCCGTCAATGGCCACCACGAGGTCACCCTGGCTGAGCTGGGACTGGGCTGCCTTGCTGCCTGGTGTGATCTGATTGGATAGTGGAGGTGGGGGGTGAGCATAAGGAAGGTGGTCCTGAGGAAAGGCCAGTCCTTGGGGAAGAGTCACCCGGGAGTATTCAACAGAAGCCGTCATTGTGTTTTTCATTCGCTACGGCCAGTACCAGCTGCTAACCAAGCCTAGTTCCTCTTTCCGGCACATGACTACCACATTGCTTAGAGCTTTGTGTCTGACTGCAGCCTTGGGACTAGCTCTGGCCAACTGAATGAGGGTGGAAGCAATGTATGCTCCTTCCAGGTCTGCCTCTAGCAACCATCCTTGTGATCCTGCACACTCTCTGCTTGTTGACTGACTGAATGCAGGGCATGGAGAGGAGGAGAGATGATTAAGGAGCACTGTATTGGACGTTGCATGAATGAGAAACTTTTGTTGTTCTGAGCCATTAAGGTTTGGAGGCTGTTGGACATGGTGGCTCATGCCTATAATCCCAGCACTTTGGGAGGCTGAGGTAGGAGAATTGCTTGAGGCCAGGAGTTTGAGGCCAGCCCAGGCAAAGGAGCCCAGACCCTGTTTCTACAAAAATAAAAATATTTGGCAGGGTGTGGTGGTGCATGGCTGTAGTTCTAGCTACTCAGGAGGCAGGTGAGAGGGTCACTCCAGCCTAGGAGTTTGAGGTTACAATAAACTATGATCGCTCACCACTGAACTCCAGCGTGGGTGACAGAGGGAGACTCTGTCTCTTAAAAATTTGCAGGCATCTGCTGGGCGTGGTGGCTCACGCCTGTAATCCCAGCACTTTGGGAGGCCAAGGTGGGTGGATCACAAGGTCAGGAGTTCGAGATCAGCCTGGCCAATATGGTGAAACCCTGTCTCTACTAAAAATACAAAAATTAGCCATGCCTGGTGGTGGGCGCCTGTAGTCCCAGCTACTTGGGAGGCTGAGGCAGGAGAATTGCTTGAACCCAGGAGGCAGAGGTTGCCGTGAGCTGAGATTGCACCACTGCACTCCAGCCTGGGTGACAGAGGGAGACTCGGTCTTAAAAAAAAAAAAAAAAAGGGTGGCCAGGTGTGGTGGCTCATGCCTGTAATCCCAGCACTTTGGGAGGCTGAGGCAGGCAGATCACCTGAGGTCAGCCTGGCCAACATGGTGAAACCCCGTCTGTACCAAAATTACAAAAAAAATTAGCTGGACATGGTGGCATGTGCCTGTAGTCTCAGCTACTCGGGAGGCTGAAGCAGGAGAATCGCTTGAACTCTTGATTGAACCCAGGAGGTGGAGGTTGTAGTGAGCTAAGATTATGCCACTGCACTCCAGCCTGGGTGAGAGCGAGACTCTGTCTAAAAACAAACAAACAAACAAAAAACTGCAGGCTATTTGTAACCTTGATTAGCCTCTTATAACCCCTGCACCCTGCAAAGCTATGGAGCACTTTTCAGACTCCAGGAGAAAAGGGAGATGCAGCAGCTAAGACACAGCAGCATCCCAGAGACACTGCCAGGCTGAAGGGCAGGATAAATGCACCCACTCAAAAGCATCTTAGTGCCAGGTGCTTTGTGCTACCTGGCAGATGTGGAGAGAGTGAGGTAGCCGACAACCCTGCCTGGATGAGCAAACTCAGCTGGGAAATGGGGCAGGGCTTAGGGTTCTGTAGTTGATGTCATACCTCCAGAAGGCAGGGTGCAGGTGCGGGGGCCAGTTCCCAAACCCTGAGCCCCGATAATACCACAGAATGTTACAGTCTGGAGGCCCCATCTTCAGTGTAACCACACAGAATGCCACTGCAACTCCATCCCGGGAATTCCCCATGGAATCTCAGGAAGGCCACACCTCCTGGGACATTACTTGGGATGTCATCGTGGCTCAGACTGCACTCTTGGGGACATCATGCACGATGCCAAATTCTGCACCCCCGGCCTCCAGTAATAGCACACTGAATGCTTTGGTGGCCCTGCCCACAGTAATATCACATGAGATGCAAAATTTCAGAGGTTCTAATAATGTCACCTAAAAAGGCTTGATGGCTGGCCCCTAGTGACATTAGCAGCCCCACCCCTAAAGATACCTCATGGAATGCCAGAGACTCTGGCTGTACCCTCTGTGACATCACATGGAATGGGCTGGCCCCTGCTAATATCACATAGAATGGCTTTATGACCTGACTCCCACCATACCATGTTGGAGGTCCCCAACCCCCATGACATCATGAGGAGTGCCATGCAGGCCTGGCCTTCAGGGACATCACAGGAAAGAGGAGGCTCCGGACCCCACCCCCTACAAGCTGTGGCTGGAAGTGTTCCTTGGCTTTGCCTCCCAAACATGCCCACCAGCCAGTCCTCTGGGCTTCTCTGGGCACATCCCAGTCACCTTCCTGGCTATAACCCAAGGACCAAGCCAGCTCCTAGTGTTGGCAGAAGCTAGATTCAGGCCAAGGCCCGAGAACCATCCTAGAAGGAGCCCAGAGAGGCTCTGGGGACAGTCCCTTGCCCCAGGTGCCAAGCCTGGGTGGGCCTCTGGCCAGGCTCTGGGCTTACAGACATGGGTGGAAGCTCCTGCCAGTCCCCTCACAGGGAAGCCCCTTCCAAACCAGGATGCCCTGCAGTCACCAGTCACCAGTGTCCAGCCCATTCCCAGATGGGCTCTGCAGATGCAGCCCAGGAACTGAGTTGTTTCTGCACGACCACATTACGGGTCACGGAAACACTGCCCTACACCACGTGGGTGATGACGGCAAGACCAGGACAGCCCTCTCCAATTGCTGTGAACCTGCCATTTCAGCCCTAGGGGCTGTGGTGCCCTCTTTTTTTTTTTTCTTTCTCTTTTTTTTTTTTTTTGAGACAGGGTCTTGCTCTGATGCCCAGGCTGGAGTGCAATGGCATCATCTCGGCTCACTGCAACCTCCGCCTCCTGGGTTCAAGCGATTCTTCTGCCTCAGTCTCCCCACAGTAGCTGAGACCACAAGCGCATGCCACCATGCCCGGCTAATTTTTGTATTTTTAGTAGAAAGGGGGTTTTACCATGTTGGCCAGGCTGGTCTTCAACTCCTGACCTCAAGTGATTGGCCTGCCTCAGCCTCCCAAAGTGCTGGGATTACAGACATGAGCCACCACACCCAGCCTGTGGTGCCCTCTTAAAATACTGGCCACCTTGTGCCCACAGCGCCCCTTCCCCTGCCCTGGAATCTGCAGAGACAGGAAAGGACAATATAGAAACAGACGTCTGGACTGCCAGGAAGCCACAGCATCTGCTTTGCAAAGTCCAGCTTGCCCTCCAGGCCCCGCAGGGGCATCTTAGAGCTACTTGAGATTTCTTAAAATACACATAGCCCTTACCCCCAGACTCATTGCCATAGCCTCTATTAATGACAGGAGTGTATTGCTGCCTTGAGTGTAGAGGTGAACAAAGTGTAAAAACCAACATCAGTGAAGGAAAGCAAAAGAGTTTTCTAGACTGAGAGGGGACTCCTGGGGGCAAGTTGAGCTGCCCAGCCAGGCCTGTCCTGCAGAAAATCAACTTTCCCTACTCCTCTATGTGATCCCCAACATTTTATTATAGACATTTTTGCAGATTTCTAGGCAGGAAAAGTAGAAAACATTCTAAAGTGTATACCTGAACACCCGCCACCATGGCTGTACCATAACATTTCACTCGCTTTGCTTTATCACACTCCATCCCTCCACATCCATCAATCCATCTCATTTGCCGGGCATTTCAAAGAAAGTTGCAGGTACCAGCATACTTCTTTCCAGGGCGAATTTTGCAATGTCTGTTCTGTCCTAGTGAACTGCCCATGGGGCTCCCCCACAGCAGGACACCCCCACAGCAAGGCTCTCTCACGGCAGGGCACCCCCAAATGCCCATCTACAGAGAAGGGGTCGTCCCCCTGCAGGGCTGGGTCATTGCAGACCCCACGCAGAAAGGCTGTGGCCTCGGTCACAGAGGAGATGCTGACAGGAAAGATGGGAGTTGTGTCCAGAAGATCATGATGACAGCATGAGCAAGGGCAACAGAATGATATCCAAGAGAGGCTGGGGCCAGATCAGAGGGGCCCTCTGCAGGGCTATCTGACTGTCCTCCCTCTGGAGCTGCCTCAGAGACATCTTTCTCCCACAGGCATGGGTCAGCGGGCACCAGCCCTCCCCACCAGGTCTCCTCACTTCCCCTCACCTAGACCTGCCTGGCTCTCCCTCATCCTCAGGTATGGGCCGGGGGGATGCTTGCTCCCAAGGGAGAGCTCAGCCTCCTGGGGTCTGGTCAGTAGCCAAGCCTCTGACCAGAGGGAAGTGGCTGAGCTGGATCCCCTGCCCAGTGCCTCTCCCCTGCAGCTGTGTCTGCTTGTCAGGGCTCAGCTGGCCTGGCCTTTGGCTGCCCTGAGTAGGGTCCAACATCCCTCAGGGTGGGGGCTGGGGGTGCTGATATCCTCCTCTAGGGAGGTGCTTCAGGCAGGATGGAGGCAGGGACCCTATGGATGATCAGGAGCCATCGGATGCCTTCACCCCACCTCAGGAGCAGCCTGCCTGGGTGGGTTGGAGGGGGGCACCCTCAGACCCTTGCCCAGAGTCCAGGGCTCATGGAGAGTGCAGTCCAGGCACGATGCTTCCACGTCTGTCTTGTCTGACTCCATCCTCCTCTTTCCTTTCTGTGTTTCAGAAAGGGCCCAAAGCACCCAACTCCTTGGAGCTGTGGTTTTTTCTTTTTAATCTTTCTAGCCGCCTTTGAGCATTTAAATGCCTCCCTTGAATGAGTGTTTCATTCCCACTTCACATTTCAGTCTTCTCCCGCCAATGGGCCCCTCTAAACCCTGGAAACCCAACCCTGGGTGCAGCCTAGAATGGCCTCAGGGTGGGGCACCGAGCTCCTGTCTCCAAAGCCCCCAAGAAAGGCTGCAGGTGTTTGGAGGCCAAGATCAGCTCCCTGCCCCCAGGAGCCCTTCCGCCTTGCTGGGCCAAGGTCTTAGGGCACTTCCAAGGGCAGCCCAGGGAGAGCTGGTGCCAGAGCCACTTGTGAGTGCTGGGGGCTGGGGGCGGGGAGGCAGCAAAGGAGGAGCACAGGTGCCAGTATGGGCCGGGCCCCTGACTTCGGTGCCAGCCTCCAAGCCCTCCAGTGTCAAGAGAATGACAATGCCTTTCTCGGGATTGTTGTGAGGATTATGTCGTTAAACAGGGGATTATGTAAGGAGGGTGCAGAGCTGAGAGAGTTTCAGGAAAACTCCAAATCCAGGAGGCACAGTGCTGACCCCATCTGCTACCCCCAGAAGGTGTGAGGCTGGCTGGCTACATCCCCGGGCTCCACAGGAAACAAGATCCACAGCTGGCAGAGGGTGGAGCTTGAGGAGCCAGCCCTGACTGACCAGTTCTGAGCCAGCCTGCTGTCCCTAGAGGGGCCTGGGTGTTGGGGGGAGGGGAGGAAACTTCTGTCCAAGGCCCAGGGGAAAGAAGGCACCAGTGAGGCTTCAGACGCACCCATGCCATTGGCTCCTATTTTCCCAGTTCCCTGGCAGCAGAGAGAGCAGCTGGGCTCTGCAGACGTTTCTGGCCATCATTCACTCCCGGTGTTCAAACCAGGCAGGCCCCTGCCTTCCTCCTCTTCTAGATGTGCCAGTGTAGATGTGGTGGGTGGAGGCTGGGGCAGGTGGCAGATAAGTAGGAAGGGTACAAGTTTCAGCAGCTCCCCCTCCCCACACTCCCAGGCTGCCTGCCTGGGTTGGGGCAGGTGGGACAAAGTGCATTTTCATTGTATGATTAAATTACTGTCTTGTCCTGCTCTGCTGCCTTCCCATCTGGCCTCCCCTGGGGCTTTGCTCATGCTCACCCTCTCACTGGAACCTTCTGTCTCCCCATGGTCCCACTCCCCAACTCCACCCTGGCCGATAAATAAGCCGGAGTCCCCTCAATGCTCAAAAAGCCTCTCCCTGCCTGCCTGGGTGGCTCCAACTGGCTCCTGTCATGTCTCCTTTCTGCACCTCCAGACTCCTCCAAGAAGTGACCCACACATCCTGCCCCCACTGCCGCTGCCTCCCACCTGCTCACACACAGCCGTCTGCCTTTGGCCCCATTATTCCACGCATATCAATGACCTTCTGTGTCCAAAGCCACGGGTCACTGCCCCCTCTGTAGCTGACCACACCTCCCCTGGCTTTCCTCAAGTGTCTCTTGAGTCTCTCCTGCCTCTCTTCCTCCTGTCCAGGTCCACAGTTCCATTTGGGTCTTGGGTGTGGCCAATAAAATGCCCTCATGGGCACTGGCTCTCAAGGGCCCCCAGCAAGGCCCATTCTTGTGTCCAAGGATGGTTCCTGGGCAGAGGTGGAGCCTGGTCCCAAAGGGGTGCCAAAGCTGTGTTTGGGGGTGGGAGGGCTCAGTGTAGAGGAGGGTCTTTGCAGTCAGGGGCAGCCTCTGGATGAGAGGGGACCATGCAGAAAGGGAAGGAGACTCAGGGAATTGGGGAGCTAGCCCCCAGCAGAGCCTGGCCCAGCCTTTCTCAAACAGCCCTGCAGTCCTGACACTGGCTACCCCACAATATCTGTAGGCCCGGAGCCCTGGGGCTGCTTATGCAGCTGCCCTTGCACGGTGTCCTGGCCCAGGGGCCTCCAAGGGTCCAATTCATTCCCCAGGACCCAGCCAGCCTCATGTCCTCTCCTTTTGGATCCCTCACAGAGTTAGATGCAGTTCTGAGCAGCCCGGAGGACCTGGCCTGGGGGACCTCTAAGAATGCATTCCCCAGCTGTGAGCCTCTGAGCCTCTGGCCGTTTATCTTCCCCTGTTGATAGATGTTGCAGGGAGGCCCCTGCCAGCCCCACTGAAGCCCTCGGAGGCTTGCCTGACCTTCAGTGCGGCTATAAACAGCACGGCCTGTCAGCACTGCTAAGAGCTGCCCAAGAAACAGCACTGCGTGCTCCAGCGGCCCCGAAATTCCAGGAATTGCCGGCACAGCTACCCCAGAATAGTCTCAGCCTGTCCCCCTTCCTCTCCCCAGAGACCCTCTGTCCTCAGCATGTTCCCACCACAGCTGGGAGAGTCTGATAAATACTGGAACCGAAACCCACAGAGAAGAGGCCTCTGAGCTGGTGCTCCAGGTGAGCCTGCAGGCGGGGTGGCTGAGACCCTAGGAAGAGAGGGTTTCCAGTAGACAGGCAGGCCCCTCCTGGGCCCAGGCTCAGCCCCCGACTCCACCAGTCTCACAACCAGTCCCAGTAGACAACAGGTGGAAAGTTTTCACAAGTGCCTGTTAGAAAGAGCTCTCACAGGTGTGGAAGGCATCATTTTATTTGTTTATTTATTTATTTATTTTTAAGATGGAGTCTCACTCTGCCCCCAGAATGGAGTGCAGTGGTGCGATCTCAGCTCACTGCAACCTCTGCCTCCTGGGTTCAAGCTGTTCTCCTGCCTCAGCCTCTTGAGTAGCTGGGATCACAAGCATGTACCACCACACCTGGCTAATTTTTGTATTTTTAGTGGAGACAGGGTTTCACCATGTTGGCCAGGCTGGTCTCAAACTCCTGACCTCAAGTGGTCTGCCCCCTCGGCCTCCCAAAGTGCTGGGATTACAGGCATGAGGCACCGCGCCCAGCCTGCTATCCCCATTTTAAGGGTGAGAAAAACTGAGGCCGAGCAGGTAAACAGACTTCTGAGGTGACACAGCTGAGAGCAGCAGAGCCTAACAAAGCATACTCCTCTTCCCCAAGGCGGAGGCATGAGAGGCATGAAGAGGTGAGACCCCAGACCACAGCCCCAGCCTCTGGCCAGCTGCCAGGGCAGAGGCCTTTGGAGCTGCTCCCTCTCTGGGCTGCTCCCCCTTCTCCACTTCCTGGAGAACTGGCTGGGGTGGGGTGAAAGGGCAGCTCATGTTGCAGGCCCAGCCACACCTGTCCAGGATAAATAAAGGCATTTCCCCGCCACCCTCCTTTCCCAGTCTCCCTCTTGAACTCCCTTCTCTGTGGGTCTGCAAGCAGAGACCCTATGAAGGGATGCCTTGAGGGGCTGCTGCTGCCCCAAAGTTGCTGCCATGAGCCCCCGGGAGCCACCACCCAGCCTGCAGGTGGCCTGTGTCCTTCCAGGAGGAGCTGCAGCACACACCTGCAGCTGAGAGGGGACAGACCCTCCCCAGTGCCTCTCTATTAGTCCCAGTTAGAGGGGTGAGCAAGCCAGCATGGGAGTTAGGGGTGACAGGATACAGGAGATCCACCCATGGACATCCCTGTCCTGTGAGCAGACTCGAGCCTCAGTTTGCCAGGCTCTGAAGCGAGGTAACGATCCCAGCCTCGCCTGCCTGCCCACCCCACAGGGTCACACACTCTTGCCTCTGGTGCCCTATGGCACAGGCTCAGGTCCTGGCTGGGGTGGGAGTGGGGTTCCTCCAGAGAGCTCTGGCCATGCCTCCCCCGTAGGGGGATGTCCCTGGTGCAGAAGGGCCCTGCGAGCCCCGGCAGTAAATCCTACAGCCCTGGTGGGATGGCAGGGCTGTGTCCACAAGGCCTGCCCTGCCAGCGGCACTGAACCAGGACACAAGCCCAGGCTATCAGCAGCCTACCACCAAAATTTCTCAAGAGGCTCCGAGCCCTGGGGAAGGCTCCAGTACCCAGTCCAGCCTGCTCCGCGGCTTAGGTGATTTGGGGTATGCCCCTAAAGGAAGCCGAGAGGCCATATCATGCCCATCCCCCGGTGCCCTGCCCGAGCTTCGGGTTCTATTTTTAGAAGTCCCCACAGTCATTGGATCCAGCACATCCCTGCATACCCCCTCCCCAGAGTAAGGACATTCCTCCTGCTATCTAGCTTAAGGCTTCTGGGCTGCCATTTAAGCCCCTGGCTGGCCGGGGCCAGGTGGCACATAGACCCTGGGTGAGGTCATTGGCTATCCTGAGTGCCACTGAGCCCAGTGGCCAATTTGCACCCATAGGGATAGGGCAGGGAGCACCAGCAGGAGGCCTCGAGATGGTGGAGCTGGGGGAGATGTGGGCTCAGTCCCAGGCAGGGGAGGCCACAGGGCCCATGAGAGAGCACACAGAGGCTCCACCTTATACAGGAAGGAGTCCTGCAAGCATGGGGGTGGGGAGCTGTGGGAAAGGGCAGTGGGAAATCCACTGGGGCTCACATGCTCACAGGTCACCACCTCATGCAAAGTGTGCAAGGCTGTGGGTGCCCAGGACCCTGTGGTCTCCAGGGCAGTAGATCTGGAGGGGTGGAATCTCCAGGTTAGAACAAGCCACATCTGCAACTGAAGGATGGAGGTCAGGGCCTGTTCCCTGCACCAGAGCCAGGCCAGCACCCCTCCTGTAAGCATGTGGCCTCTATGGCTATTATAAGGCTCTCACGGCATCCCTGGGTGGGGCTTCTACTTCTGGGGTCCCCTCAAGTACCCGTGGAACAAAAAAAAGATTACTCCTCCACTGGGGGCATTGGCTCCTGACCCGCTGCCCAGGTTCCCTGGCCCCTCTGCCAAGCCCCTTCAGGCCTTGCCCACTTCAGTGCTTCCCCTCCAACCCCTTCCTCCAGCCCCCAGGCCCAAGGCAAGTCCTTAAGGCCCCAGAGAAGAAACTGTCCCCTTGTTCCCCTGGTGGGCAGTAGCCCAGATACCCCTGCCTACCTACCACCCTCCAGTGACAGACTGGGGGCCTCCCCCTCTGGCCTTGTGCCCGGAACAGCACGGTCAGGGGCTCAGCCACCAGGCAGGGTTGTCCTTGCCCTGTATGCCTCACAGTTCGCCCTGAGCCTTGGGGCCTTCAGCCCTGGGTCTACCAGTGCCTTGCTGGGGAGTCTCTTTGTTTGACAGAAACTGACGGAGTGCCTACTACGGTCTGGGGGCTGTTCCCCCATCAGTCCCTGCTCCTGGAGTGCTTCCTCAGGAGCATGGCTAACTTTCTGCCTCTCTGGTGTTGCTGTCTCCAGCCAGGCGGTAGAGTTACTCAGACAACCCCTGATGTTCTGTGTCATCTGCATCAGGCCATGCTGCTCCCCATCACAGACACTGCAGGATAGGGGGCCATCTCACCAGGCCCCAGCACTTGTGGGGAACAAGACCTGAGACAGACAAAGCAGCCATGGTGAATGGGGAGAAGCGCCCAGCCCCATGAGCCAGGGTCTTGGTGTCTCAAGTTTGGGATGGAGCAGGTGCCCAGTACTCAGTCCAGCCCAGCCCCACACTCTGACAGCTGGGCAGCCAAGGTCAACCGTCTGTCTGTCCATCTATCCAACTGCCCATCACCTGCCCTCTCCATGCTGGGAATACTCCCTTCCCAAAGCAGCTGCCCATATCTAGGGAAATGCTCAAGGCTTGGGGGCACCCTGAGCCCACTCTAACAGTAAAGGGATCAGGAAGGTGCTGTACTCTCTGTCCAGCTACCTGCCTGCCTGCCTGCCTGCCTGCCTGAAAACTCAGCATTTTCTTCTCTGCTAAAAACACCTACCACCTGCTCATGATGTCTCACATGCATAACAGGCCGGCGCGCTCCAGTGAGCAAACAGCTGTGGCTGAGACCAGAGGACCAGGCCAGTCCCAGGGGATGGGGCATGCTCTGCTTTCTGAGAGGCTCAGAAAGGACAGACAGACAGACGGACACACATGCCCTCCTCCAAGCGTGCCTGCCCCATCGGGTGCCAGGCTGTGGCAGGGTGCACTCACCCGGGAGATAGTGAGGGGCATGTTGAAGTCCTTGCCCCCCTGCAGACGGAAGCCCCAGGGCCCGGGCCCAGTCAGGGTCACACTGTAAGACATGCTGGTGCTGTCAGCGGCCGCCTCTGCAGACAAAGGGTAGAGAGGGTTGAGTGAGAGGGCACTCAGGCACTCCGCCTGCCCGGTCCACACCTCTGCCCCTGCCCCTGACCCCCAGCCTTGCCTGTTCTGTCCCTTGCTGCCCAGCCGGGCTGCGTGGAGCTCTTGAGAGGCTCCTAAGAATAGCTGGGAGCGAATGCCATCGACACTGATATCTGCCTTCGGCTGCGCCCATAAATGGACTGTAACCCTACACTGTGCCTGCCAGCCTGCCGCCTCCCAGCCGGTCCACCATGACTCACACGGCTAATATAGCCCCTGGGGAGGGGTGTCCGGCACCCAGCACCCCCCAGGGGGGAGGAAGGGGAACTGGCCTGGTTGGTGAGAATGCTCTGGTCTCCTTGCTCCTGTGTCCTCTGGAGAGCGTAGACACTCGCTCTTCCTGCCCAGTGGTACCCATCCTCTTGCTCAGAAGACCAGGGGCTGAGCTCCCTTGGGTAGGGGCTTTGCTGCCGTGTGGTCCCTGGCCAGGATTCTGGGGTTGTGCTTTATCCAGTATGGGGCCCTGGAGGTGCCTTGGCTTGAGCTGAGCCTCCAGCTGGTCTGTGACTGGCCCAGGGTTGTCCAGCCATAAAAACGATCATCATAACAGCAGCTCTGGGCATAGCCAACCTCAGTATGGGCCCTTCACTCCCTGGGATCCTGAGAAGCTGCCACCTGGGCCCGCAGGAGACAAAGCTCAGGGAGGTTAAATGACTTCTCCAAGGTCACACAAGGAGTGGACCCAGGTCACACTGGAGCCTGGGCTGATTCCTACAGAATGCATGCCAGATAATGGGCTCCCAGTAGCCACAGAAGCCTCCCAAAGCCCTGGTCCTGGGCAGCTGGCCCTCTGCCTGCACCCCTTGGCATAGGGTCTGAAAGCAGGTCTGAGGCAGGCCCATCCCCTCCAGACCCTCTGGGGGCCCAGCCAGTTATTCCTGGCTCTCCTGTCTTTGTGCTCTGGAAAACTTGACGGCAGCATGGAAAGCTCCAGCTGCCAGTGCCACACGCCAGGCCCCGTGCCCTTTGCGCAGGAATGGCAGGGGGCAGGGAGAAGGGAGGAGACGCCATTTGCTCAGCTGCTAGACACAGGGCCAGGAGGGGCAGGGAGGGGGAAGCACGTGTGGCATGTTCAGCCTGTACCCCAGAGACAGTGTGTTCTGGATGGGGGCCTCAGCACCTTGGGACTTCTGCCAGTGCGGTCTTTGGGCCAACCCCTTCCCCAAGAAAGACCTCAGGCCCCTATGTGGTCTGGAGATAGATCAAGGCCCACCCTGGCTCCTTGGTTGGAGAAACTGAGGCTCAGGGGAGGCAACTGGGTTGGCTGCTTGCTGGCCCTCTTGGAGGGGTCTGGCTTGGACCCTGAGGAGTCAGTAGAGGCCTGGGTGTGAGTCATTTCTCAGCTTCTAGCCTCACTCCTGGGGCCTGGCACATGCAAGGTACAAGGTAGGATCACCCATATTACGGGGTTGTTTTGTCACTTGCCCAAAGTCACAAAACTATCAAGTGGAAGAAGTCAGGAAAAGACCTGTGTCCTTTTCCCTGCTTAATCACTTCCTTCACCCTATATCATGCAGCCCAGCCCAGGAGGCCAGCAGTCCATGGCCAGCATCCCTTCCCCATACCATTCCCTATCCCTCTCTGCAAAGCCCCATGTCATTCATCCCTAACTCCAGCCTTATGCCCTTTCCTAGGGGTGTTTGTCCATCCTGCCAGGCTGGGGAGGACTCAGCAGCAGGGCATAACCAGTGTGGGAGAAGGAAGGCACCCACCCTCAGGGCCAGGGAGCTGGGGGAGGCTGTACCTGGAGCTGCACGCTGTCTCTCTGGCCTCTGGCTCCTGCCTGATGAAGCTCGCCTCTGGGGAAAGGGAGGGGTGGCAGGAGAGTGCTCTTAAAGGCGAAGGCCGGCCTCCCTCCATCCGCCTCCCTCGGGAGATGTGAAGCCAGTCAGAGAGCAGCTGGTACCCATGGTCTGGGCGGAGTTCAATGGCTCACTGGGGAGTGAGTGGGGATGGAGGCCAGCCTGGCCTTTGTCCCTTCTCTGCTGTACTCCTTGCAGTTTGAGGTGGGCCTCAGAGTGAGAGTCCCAAGAGTGGGGACAGAGGAAGGAGAGGAAGTGAAGTTGCTGGAGGCATCAGAGGCCAGGCCCTGGTTCTCTCTCCCATAGCAGCACCAACACGTAGAGACCATATTTGTCTGAAGACACCTTCTCCGCTTTTTATTTTCCTATACCCTGTCAGATCCACACAGCCCTGGGAGGAGCTTAGACCACTACATGAAATGAATCACAGACGCAGAGTGTGCACGCATGTGCTTGGTGTGCATTCAGATAGGTAACTACGCGAGAGCGTGCCTGCAAATGCCCGCGTGCACAAGAATGTGGGCCACAGTGGAACGGTACACTGGGGGAAGAAGCCACAGGTGAGTAACTGTTCCAGCGTGCAAAGGGAGGTCTGTGCTCGGCTTCAGCTGTTGGCAGTGGGAGATGCGGGGCTGGCCTTCCTATGCCAGTGACAGGCCCAGCCTGGGGGCAGAGGCTCATAAATAGCTGGTGTGTTCTCTGGAGCCATCACCATTGTCATCGCCTGGACAATTGCAGCACACAGCATTTGAGGAGAGGCAGACAACTCGGGAAGTGGGAGGGCCTGGGCACATACCCCTCAGGCTGAGCCTCGGGTGCGGCTGCTGAGCTGGAAAGTGGATGCGGAGGACGTTATGGGGCAGGAGTTTTGAGGTGTGGAGAGGGGCCATGGGGCTGGGGCTGTGAATCCCGTGCAGCACGGGTGACAGGGCCACTTCCAAAGCCTGCAGGCTCACAGCATAATCCTGGGTCTGTGTATATGAGGGAGACGTGGGGGGGCTGGATGTGTCTCAGAAGAAAGGGAGAGCCAGTGGGCGTCCTACATCCTGGGGTCCTGGCTGGGGATCAGCCCCTTGGTCTGCAAACAAACAGCACACATCTGTTTAGCTGAGGAGCAGTTCACTGGGGGCAGTCTCCCGATGACCCTCCACACACTGGGTCACCGAGCAGTGGGGGAGGTTGCATGGAAGGGCCAGGTTGTGTCCTGGGTCAGGGATGGGCCTTCCCAGAGTCCACATCCCAGAGTAAGAGCTGGTAACGCCTAACGCTGCCTACAGAGCATCTCCTGGGATGCTCCCCGGGCTCTTGACTCCCGGGGTCACAACTGAACCCATCCTCACCCCCACCATCCAATCCGCTCCTCTCTTCCACATGTGGAGACTCTGGCATCACCCCCGCTCCTGCTGTCCTTAAATGGGTCATCCCTTTCCTGCCCTGCAGCACTTCCTTCTTTGGTCTTCACCCTGCAAAGCTAACCAACCCCCTCCCAGGGCTTCCTGTCCCCAGGTCAGGTCTGGAGACACCTAAGCCAGTCCCTGATGGGGCCTTCCCACTGCTCCTACCACCTCCGCCTCCTCTTCCCTTCTCCTATGTCCCCCACTGCCAATCCCCAGGGTCCCTCTGGCTGCTCCCAGGGTCACAGAGAGACATCCTGTTCCAGGACATATTGAGCTCCCTCCCCTGTGCCCCTGTGTTTGCACAGTCACACAGGCTGTATCCTCATCCTGGACAGCTCAGTGCTCCCCCCACTCCCCACCCCTGCTGCCTGCAGATCCCTGCTTCACCTCTATCTTCCTGGGGAACCTCAGGGACTTGCCTCTGCTTTCAGTACCCTGCGTGCTCACACCTCAATGGCAGCGCTTATCACATGTGTTTGGTGATTGTTGATGGCTGCCCAGCAACCCCCCTGAGCCTATCCCTCCAAGACAGGCACTGTGTCTTTCATCAGTGCCTGGCCAGCCTGGGGGTCACTGCCAGGCCTTTGTCCTGGCGTTTATGGCATGCACAGTGCCTGGGCTCCAGGACAGGGTGCGGGGCCCCCGGGGGGAATGCTGAGGGAGGCTGAGGCTCCCCGACTGCAGGTACAGCCCAGGGCTTTCGTTCTTGGATGCACAGGGGCACAGCACTCAGGAAGAAAGGCAGGCAGGAATGTGCCTTTGGCCTTGGACTAGCTAGGGAAGCTGGAGAGAGCCCAGGAGCTGAGCTGAGGGTGTTGTGTGGGTGTGACAGGAGGGGCAGATGGGGAGCTGTCAGCTGGGGCGAAGGGCTGCTTGGGAGCCTGTGCACACGACATTTCCAGTGTTCCAGAATATGGCCTTCTCTAATCGCCATCAACATTCCGTTCCATAGGCACTTGGGCCGACAGCTGGCCTTCTTTTAATAGCCACAAGTATTCCGGGTGACATCCTGATCTTAGGGCATTTATGGTGAGCACATCCACAGCTTACAGCCCCTTCCTCCCCAGGTATGTCCAACCTCGCAGTCACACAGAGAGGTACATACCACCCACACTCAGTCACATGCACAGCTTAAAGCAGACACATTAGGGCATGCTTAGTCACGTGTCACTGGGTGTTACAGTGACAGAGCATGTGCCAGGTGCTACAGTGATGGAGCATGTGCTGGGCACATGGCCACACACATGCTCGAGCTATGCTCTGACGGCTGCAGACCTCCTACCCTCATCAACACACACATGTACTCTTATCATGCCACAGCACAGCCAACAGCACCATGCAGAGTCAGAGTTGCATGATCACACACACACACACACATGTGCAGACCATATGCAGGCCCTGCTCAGAGCATCTCAGAGTCACAGAGAACCCCAGGCAGACAAGGAAAAGCTGGGAGGTGCTGGGAGCAGGTGATTCCTGGAGGATATCGCCCCTGCCCATGAGAACAAGTCTCTCTTTCCTGGCCTCTCCCTGGGCTACTGGCCCCTAACCCCCACCCCTTTGTGGATTGGCAGGTACCGGGCCCAGTCACCTTCCCTGGAGTCTCTGCTTCGTGTCCCTGGGGTCTGGGGGGTGCCTTGGCTTCCAAGTCCTCCAGACCCTGACCGTAGAGGGACCGCCCATTTGCTTGCTGGGCAGCTCCCCACACAGCTGCTGCCTCCATGTGTGTCCAGCCCTGAGGGAGGTGAGAGAGTGACTGTGAGGTGAGAGGGACAGTCCGTAGCTTTGCTCCTGCCCTTACCCCACCAGGCCCTCCTTCATCCTCCCAACAGGTATTCATTGCGGGAGGCCCCTGACACCATTTGCACCGTTGCCGGTCACCAAATAAACCCCGTAAATTGTGCATGCCTGTCCTAGGGTGTGTGTATGTGTGTGCAGGTTTGCTCCCCATCTGCACACCGGCACACCTTGCTAAGAAAGTGGCTATTTATATTTTTGAATAGATGGGTGGTCTTCACGAGGGTCTAGGCCTCCAATAACAGATTAGATTTCTCCTTGTTATTCACTACAGTGGTTTACAGGAGGGACCTCTGACAGCTCCTCTCTCAGTCCCTCAACCGAGAACCCCAGGGATGTGGGCAGTGGGAGGAGATCGCTGGCCGGTCAGTTGGCGGCAGTCTTGCTGAGGCCCATAGAGGGCTCTGTAGGTAGAATTAAGGAGGAGCCCAAGTGTGGTGGGAACAGGAGCCGGTGGCGCACGGAGCTTTCCTGGGGACATCTAGGGGAAGCAGAGCTGCAGGCCCTGAGGAGGGCTGACACCCATCCCTGGGCACACCTGGCCCCGAGGAAGGTTGACACCCATCCCTGGGCACACCTGGACAGCGTTGATCTGAGAAGCCTCTTTTCCCTTTCAGAGGAGGACGTGGAGCCTCAGAGGGAGTAAGTGACCTGCCCAGGCTCCCACAGTGAGCACATGGTAAGCTGAGGCTCAAAGCCACATCTCCCATCTCCAGGGCCCATGCCCATCCCGTGAGCTCTTCAAGTCTCCCAGGAGGAGGGGGCTTAATGCTGAGGAGCAAGGAGCTCCAAGCTAACTCCTGCCTTGTCTCTCTGGAGCCCTATCTAGAGCCAGATGTGCTGATCTCTTCAGGCTGCGGCTCTAGGGAGAGTGTCAGCATGGAAAAGGATGGCCTGGAGTTGGAAGACCTGTGTTCAATCCTGGCCCCGCTCCTGGGAACCCCCAAACCATCCCCGCTCTGGCCCTAGTGCCCCTGCCTATCAGGGAGGATTACGAACTTCATGGGGGTGTTGGGAGGGGCTCTTCCTGCCAGGGTGCCAGCGTCCTCAGTGTCCCTGAGTCTCAGAGGCAGCCCTGCCAGGGCCTATGTATTCCCCAGAGCCCCAGGGCTGCCTGAGGAAGGGATGGCCAGGCGCAAGCTGGTGAGGGCCCAGCATCCTTACCACCTCACTCTCCGAGCCCAGGGACTCCTGGCGCCTCCGTATGGAGATCCAGCTGAGGTTGGAGGTGTGGCTGGTCAGCGTGGAGCGGTGGGTGGAGCGGTAGCTGGGGTAGGGGCGACTGTGCCGGCGTGATACACCCAGCAGCACCCCCAGGCAGGGCAGGTGCTGGGCAATGGCCACCCTGCAGGGGCCGCACATCTGATTAGGGCCAGGGGATGGGCAGACAGATGCAGGGGAGGGGATGGGTGCACAGGCTGGTACAGGCCTAATGTGCGGTGACCGAGAGCCTCTGGGGAAATGGGGAGGCTCAGACCCTGGGAACCATGGCAGGTGATGAGGACAGAAAGACAGATGCTGGGTGGGGAGATTGAGAGGCTCACAAGGCTGGTGGGAGGGACAGAGAGATTCTGGGTGGTAGGCATGCAGGGAGAGCCTGGGGATGTTGGTTCCAGCCCTCAGTGGCTGGCTCAAGCCACATCTCTGGTAATGGAGACCAGGGACACTCTGGAGCAGCCTCTGTGCTGGACGGGCTCAGGCCTGCCACTGGCCTTGGGAAGGTGGTGAGTGACTGACATCACCAGGCAAAAGGAAGCACTAAGGGAGAAGCAGCCTTGCCGGGTTGCTATCAGCATGCATACTGGCCCAGAGCCACCCCAGGCTCCTGCCAGGCCCTGGGAGCAGAGCTGAGCTCTCCCTGCTGTGATTTCTTCAGGATGACACTGTCGGGGAGGGCGGGGCGGGGGGGTGCTTAAATTCACAGGGCTGTCCTGGCTGCCCTACACGCCAGGTCTGAAGGTCCCATAGTTAGGACTGGACACTGCCCAGGGAACCCTGACCTCCCTCCACACCGTGACCCCTGGGAAGCTGGGGCGGGGGAGGGAGGCACACCAACTCCAGACCCCACTCAGTGTCATTGGCCGCTCCCAGCTGCTGGTGGCCCCCATTCTACACACACACGAGAGACAGAAAGGTGGTGGCCTCTGCCCCCATCGGCAGGCCAGGCCCTTGGAGGCCAAGGTGTGGGGTTCTGGAAAAGAGCCACACCTGTACTTGGGGTGGGTGATGGCGTAAATGATGGGGTTGTGGATTGCAGAGGCCTTGGCGATGACGGCTGGCACCGAGCTCATGTAGGGTGTCAGGACGTGTGCGTACCTAGGACAGAGAAGGTGTGGTCCCCAAGCTAGCTGGCCCTCCTGACACACCTTCTCTTCTGGGCCAGGCCCTGCCAAAGCCCAAATCCTAATCCAGCCCAAACCAGCACAGCTAAGTCAGCCCCATAGGGAGGAATTGGCAGTGCCAGGATAATTTTTTTTTTTTTGCTCTGTCGCCCATGCTGGAGTGGCAGTGGTGTGATCTCAGCTCACTGCAACCTCTGCTTCCTGAATTCAAGCAATTCTTCTGCCTCAGCCTCCGGAGTAGCTGGGACTACAGGTGCCCGTCACCACACCTGGCTAATTTTTGTATTTTTAGTAGAGACGGGGTTTCACCATTTTGGCCAGGCTAATCTCGAACTCCTGACCTCAGGTAATCCACTTGCCTTGGCCTCCCAAAGTGCTGGGATTACAGGCGTGAGCCACCATGCCTGGCCTATGCCAGGAGAATTCTGATCTGAGTGAGTAGGAGGGAGCAGTGGGTGGTTGAGGGTGCAGCTCTGGAAGGAAGATGTGCCGAATTTGGGGTGGAGGTTCCCAGGTCCACTGTTCCTTGGAGCCTGTGCTGCTGGCGATATCCCACTTCCCCCCATTGACTCTGGCCCTTGCACCCTCTGCCTAGCTCTTCTCACACCCCACCCCAACCGTGATGCCCTCTCTTGCCCTGGCTATTGTAGAGAAACCCCACAGTAGGGCCCTGGGGGGACCAGGCCATTCCTCCACAAGAAGGTCTCCTATCTAAACACTTCCAGGGTTTAATAGCCCTCACTTCTCAAAAACACTTCTGAAGTTGAGCATGCATCTGTGCTGCTGCAGATGTCACAATCCCCAGACTCTAGCCACAAAGGGCTAGAAGGGCAGCTCTCAGGGACCCATTCCTGGAGATGGGCAGCACCTCTGGTCATGTAACCACAGCCCATGCAGAGAGGGAGGAGACCTCAAGAGGAACTGTGTGTTCCAAAGGGGGCTGGCAGGCCGTCCGCCCAAAGCTTTGTGGGGCCCAGAGCTCCTCTGCATGTGCCCTGGTGCTTCCAGGAACTAGGTGGCCCCCCACCCACCCCGGGGCTGGGCACCTTACCCAGGGAGAGAATAAGCTGTGAAGCTGGTCCTAGGGTGCGAGGATGGCTGGCCGGGGTTGGGCTGGGAAGGAGAGGCTGGCCAGGCTTCTTGCTCCTGCCCCCACACCTTCAGCCTCTTCCCCAACCCTTTAGCCACTGCTTACCCAGCAAAGGCCACCAGGGCCACAGCGGAATAGGGAGCCCAGGAGAGCACGAAGAGGAGGATGACCAGCAGCATGATCTTGGCCATCTTGCACTCGCTCTGCAGCCGCTGCCGCTGCCACAGGGACTCGCCATTGCCCTTGCAGGCCCCGAAGGTCTGGAGAGCCCTAGGAAGGACGCATCGTCCAGGTCTGACCCTAGTCGGGTGGCAGTCAGCACCAGGGTCACGGCTGCTGTTGGGGAGCCTCTCTGGACTATCCTTGCAGGGCACTCGTGAGAGTGTCATTCCTTCCAGTGCAGGCAGCCCTGACTTCCAGAAAGTTTTCTGTGACATGAGGTCTCAGCTGCCCCCTACTCCCTCTTGATTCTGTGTGCCTTCTCTCCTCCCTCTGCCATGCCGAAAAGCCCGCCCCAGAAGCCCTTGTCTCCTGAGGCTCCCCTAGACACTGCTGCCCCATAAGCACTTGCTCAGCTTGCCTTCACCCACTGGTCATGCTCTGGTAGGCTGGTGCAGGTGTGAGTGGTGGGGCAGGGGCCGCCTGGCCGAGGGGCCGGTCCCCCTCCTGTAGCCCCCCTCCATGCTCGGCTCTTACCGTCCTGTCTCCCGGATGGCCCTGAAGATGAAGATGTAGCAGTAGATGATGATAAGCAGAGGGAGGAAGAACACGAAGCAGCAGAGAAGCATGGTGTAGGCACGCACGGCCGGCGTGAAGCTCATGTAGTCCCAGGAGCAGGATGTCAGCAACCCCTCGGGCACGTAGGCGCCTGGGAGCCAGGGCAGGTGCTCAGCCTTTGGGGCGGCACTGACCACGGCTCCTTATCTGGCAGGAGCTTTGTATGTGGCATTCGGGTCCCCATACACAGCCCTGGCCCTGACCTGGCCCTGTCCCATGCAGTGAGGAAGCTGGAGGGAACTGGGATGGCCTGCAAAGCCCACTGCCTCCCATTCCTGCTAGATTTGAGCAGAAAGCTCACCATAACTTCAAGGTTTTGCTTGCCAGGGCTTCAGCCAGAGGCCTGGTCTTACCCCAGGAGGGCTACTACCTTGCTCTCCACCGTTCCACCTTCAGAGTCCTCACACCCCAGCCCCCTGCCTAGTCTGACACAGCATCAGAAGTACCTGTCACTTTGCCCCGCCCAGAAAGCCTTTGTATTTTGGGATCAGTTGCCCAGGAGATCCTTTGGCCCCTGATGGGGCAGTGTCAGTTTCCCTTGCTGCCAGTCATGTCCCCTGAATGTCCATCTCACCTGAGGCTCAGGTAGCTCCTGGGCACCCTGCTCCCGCCAGCTGGCTGACCCAAGTCCACCTACTTCCCCTTGAATGTGCCCCTCCCAGCCCATCTGCCCCCCTTCCAGTTCCAGCAGCCCACTTACTCCAGCCGAAGAAGGGTGGCAGACTCCAGGCCAGGGCATAGAGCCAAACGCCCAGCAGGACAAATGCCGCACGCCTCTTGGACGCCACACCAAAGGTGGCCAGCGGGCGTGTGATTACCAGGTAGCGGTCCAGGGCGATGGCCGTCAGGGTGATCATGGAGGAAATGCCAAAGAGAGCTCCACAGAAGGCATAGAACTCGCAGCCTGTGGGCACAGCCCCTGCTCTGAGTCCTGGGGAGGAGGGTCTGGGGACAGGGTAGACTCTGCTCTGGCCTTCACCTCACAGGAAGAGCAGGACTGAGCGCACTCCACCCCCTCCACCTGCCACATCTGGCCAAGGCTGGCAGAGGCCTTAGGACCAACACTGCATCTTCCCTTCTTGCTTACTCACAGGACTGAGGGCAGCTACCCACTCTCTGCCCAGAAGCAGCAAATCACCTC